>NC_000009.12:37282727-37434242 GCF_000001405.40 Homo sapiens
GGGTGTGATTGTGTGCTCCTGTGGCCCCAGCTACATGGAAGCATCAGTGAGCCATGTTTTTGCCACTGCACTCCAGCCTGGCTCTGGCTTAAAAAAAAGGCGGGGGGAGTGAGGGGGTAAGAAAAGAGTCAAGAAGACCTGAATCTTTTTTTTTTTTTTTTTTTTTTAATGAAAATGGCATTTGTTCCAGAGGCAAGAGTAGCCTCCAAATTAGTAGAATGCCAGATGGAGATGTGGGGTGGGGTGGGATGGGGAGAAAGGTGTTGAAGCAACTCAATCATGCTACTACTAATAGTTCCTCTTGGGTTGAGACTTAGGATGGTATTAAATTCAATTGTTTTCTTTTCTGTTGTTTTTATACCCGTGTGTGCTCTTGATATTATATTGAGTTGGCGTAGTTGCTTGCAGTCAGTAGATAAGAATAGTAATGGGATAATATGTATGAAAAATATTGACAGCACAATACTTTTCTCTTTCATGGAGTTCAGACATAATTTGGGAGAAATAAAGATAGGTAGTCAATGTCTATCCAGCACATCCTAAAATTTATGTTCATTGTTGTAGAAAAATGTATATAATCTAAGTTCCCATAGTTTCAGGAGAAAACAAATTGTAAATTAAACTTTCTGTATTTTTGCTCCATACCCCAAGATTTTACATATCTACATCTAACTATAGCCTCTTCAAGTACTCCTATTGTTTGAAAACAGAAAACTTTAAAATGGAAAAGTGGGCTCCTCCTTTTGTCCTTTCTTACTTGAATTTTCTATTTTGAAAAGAATAATAGGGGAGAATTTCACAGGGCTCTAATTTATTTGACCCCTCTTTTTCCTGTTTTCCTATTATGACTTTAATAATATACTTTTATTTGAAAATATTTCTAAGAGTCACTTTTTTGGGGAGAAGAATTAGTATGCAGTTTTGTTATAGGCACCTCAGTTAGATCATAGTAATAATGGTGATATAAGAGAAAAACAATTCTGACTCTTATAAAATTATCAGAAGGGAAATTTTCCAGTTTATTAAAACAGAAAGGACAGTTGGTTTGGTTTAGTCATCAAAATAAACTCTGACTAACTAGATTCCCAAGTTCTATATTGTGCTTGAATTTTCCATTGGGAATGAAACATTCCACTGCCCTTTTTACTGTTTAACTTAAGCTGCTGTGAACACTCAGAGAATGGCCCTGTGGCTGAGCTGCTTATTTTTTTTTTTTAATCTATTCATTTTATACTTTCAGACAGATTTTTCCCTGGGGTGAAACAAAGGTTAACTGAAATTTCCTCTGTTGTGTACCTGAACGAATCAGCAGTTCGAGAAGGAAATCCCATTGATGGGCCAAGAGAGTGACAGGCTCTATTTAAAGAATTCCCCCGACTGTGTGGTAGACCAGCCATGCCATGAATTTAACTGTTCCTGTGGTCCCCATACTTGTACCCACCAAAAAAAAAGAGAGAGAGAGAGAAAGCGACTTTGTTCTGCAAACGTTGGCCTAAGCTTTGAAAACCATGAGCCATTGAGTTTTGTGAATTCAAGTTAGACAGTAACAGAGGCCAAGACTCTAAGCGAACAATATCTGAAAAGGAAGTACACAAAAACAGGTAGAAACTGTTTAACTGTTTTATTTCTCTGTGTATATACATATTTATGTGTGTTTATACACACAAAAAAATACCTTTTTTGCATTTTATGTAGCCAGTCCTAATTACATTTGATCAATAGTGTTTGTTAAATTTTTTTAAATATGTAACAAATATGAAGGTTTTTCTTGTTTTTACAGCTTTTTTGCTCCATAAAAGTATCCTGGTTTTTATCAGGACATATTATATGTATTGGAAATGAAAGTCAGCACGGTGTGAGTTTAAATGGTTAAAAAAAAAATGGATTTTTATATTACCTCTGCAGGAGCTTCTGTTAGGACCAGCTCATGTATTTTGTATTTTTTCTGTATAAGGGAAACTGCTTTAAATATGAAAAGATGGTATCTTAAGTTGGATTAAACATCCGTAATTCATGTGTATTTAACCTCAGGACTTGTGAGCCTTGTTGAAAAATCCAGCTTTAAACCTTCCCTGTAGGCCTCAATAGTGCATACTGCATTGGGATTATAAATAGTCAGTCTGTTTCTGGAGTGTAGGTTAGTATGTATTCCCAGGAGGCATGAACTATTTACATTTCTAACAAATGTTTCACATATGTTGCTGATTCATATTTCTATGTACAAATTTAGGCTTTAATTTTTTTAATTTCCTTTTTTATTAGAAGTTTTGTTATAAAAAGTTTCTTAAGTGTTTCATTCTTTCTAGCATGGGTGGCTTAAGGAGATTGGAGGGGAGCGTTTCATTTATTTATATAGAGATTTTGATGTTTTGAAAGACAATAGAATTAATAGAGAAAATTGTCCAGATATCCAGCGCTTGGATTTTTGTTTGAGAAGTTTGAGGAAGCAGATGCCATTTGAGTTGGTTTCTATGGAAAAATTTATCTTAGAGATGATGTAGGGCTATATTTATGTTCACAAATGAGAAATTGAAGCTGAGAGAAAGAGAAAATGTTTAATACATAATTACTCAATATGTCTTGGAAGAACCTAGGTTTTTATTCATACCTGGTGTTTCTTTATAAACTGCCTCTCTTTTATCTTGAGATGGTATTTTCGAAATTATTTCTCTTTCTCATTTTCTTCTACCATTTCCTGACATTTTCTTGTCTTTTGTTCTATTCTTCTTCGTCTCTTATTTTTCTATATTGGTTGTACTGTAAATAGGTTGCTAGCAACACACCTTAGGAGCAGGCTTTTGGGGAATGGGTCTAAGTATTCCATTTGGCCTATAATAGGCTATATTGTTGTTTTGGAATATAATTTTGAAAAAATCAAATTTATATTTATCCTGCTAGTTGATCAAGCTATAAATCAATCAATACTTACTAGTTGCTGCTTATATAAATAGAAGAGTTAACCAGTGACTCAGACAGATGACAATTGACTATTAAAGATTTTTTTAAATTGGCATATGTTTAGGAAAATCACTTGTTTCTTCAAAATTTATTCATTAAGCAGTATTTTTTGAGCACTTACTATGTGACAAACACCACACAGGTGATAGAGATACAACAGAGAGGAAGATGGAACTGGTTCCTGTCTCCTTACATCCTGGTGTAATTATATAATAAAAGTTAACCACAAGTAGAAACTTGGGGCATTATTTTTGTAAAATCTCAGTCAAGTTTCTCTCTACATAGAAGACTAGTATAACTTCAGATACCATCATTCATATCCATATCAGAATATAGTCCTATGTTAAAAGTAGAAAGATGCAATTTTAAACATGTTTTCCCATTAGTAATTGTCATGTGGTACATGATGAAATGAAATTGTTGAAATGAGTACCAGTAATTTTATTATTAGAGAAAGTCAGAACACTATTAATAAAATAATTTAGGGAGATTATATAGCATATTGGTTAAGAGCATGGTTTGGATGTAAACATGGGTTTGAGCCCTCTAGTCTGCCACTGAGAAGATTTTTGGTATTAAATCAATTATTATTCATATTTTTATGAATTCATAAACCTCACCTGTTCTCATCTGTGAAATAAAATTGTAATACCTACCTTTATAAGATTGTTATGAGAGTTAAATTAGAAATACAGGCTGGGCATAGTGGCTTATGCCTATAATTCCAGCACTTTGGGAGGCCAGGGTGGATCACTTGAAATCAGGAGCTTGAGACCAGCCTGGGCAACATGGTGGAACCCCATCTCTACTAAAAACACAAAAATTAGCTAGGTGTGCTTGAATTCTCAGCTACTCGGGAGGCCAAGGCACAAGAATTTGCTTGAGTCCGGGAGTCTGAGGCTGCAGTGAGCCAAGATCACACCACTACACTCCAGCCTAGGCAAATGAGTGAGACCCTGTCTCAAAAAAAAAGAAAGAAGGAAAGAAAAGAAAAATACATAAATGTTTAACTTAGTACCTGGCACAGAATAAGCTCTTTATATGTATTAGCTGTTTTTATGTCCTATATTCTTTTTTTATTAATTTAATCTTGATTCTCTTTTTCCCTCCCTCCCTCCCCCCCGTTCCCGCCCTCCCTCCCTGCTTCCCTCGGTCCCTCCCTCCCCCTTCCCTCCCTCCCTCCCCCCCTCCCCCTTCCCTCCCTCCCTCCCCCTCCCCCTTCCCTCCCTCCCTCCCCTCCCACCTCCCTCCCTCCCTCCCCCCTTCCCTCCCTCCCTCCCCCTCCCCCCTCCCTCCCTCCCTCCCTCCCCCCTCCTTCCCTCCCTCCCTCCCTCCCTCCCTTCCTTCCTCTCTGCTGTTGTTGAAACAGAGCCTCTCTCTTTCATCCAGGCTGAAGTGCAGTGGTGTAATTACTGCCCACTGCAACCTCTGCCTCCCGGGCTCTAGCAGTCCTACTGCCTCAGCCTCCCAAGTAGCTAGGACTACAGGCATGAGCCACCATGCCCAGCCATGATTTTCTTTCTCTAGAAAAGTCTGTTAGTGGGGATTTGAACATTCTTTTTGTATTATACATATTTTCTTTGAGGTGTCATACATTAAAATCAATTTCTTCAAAAATCAGGATGAGCATTTGTACAAAAGTATACAGTCAACTAGGATGAGGTTTTTTAAAAGTTGTTTTCCTTTTAACATAAAGTTGTATGTAATAATTTCCAATCCCTCGTGCCTTCTTGCTTCCTTTCTGGCAATCTCAACTTCAAATCAGTAATACTTATTATAGGTACATTGGTACCTATAATAACAAAGCGACTTTGTTCTGCAAACGTTGGCCTAAGCTTTGAAAACCATGAGCCATTGAGTTTTATGAATTCAAGTTAGACGGTAACAGAGGCCAAGACTCTAAGCAAGCAATATCTGAAAAGGAAGTACACAAAAACAGGTAGAAACTGTTTAACTGTTTTATTTCTCTGTGTGTATACATATTTATGTGTTTTTACACACAAAAAAGTACCTTTTTTGCATTTTATGTAGCTAGTCCTAATTACTATTATATACTTATTATAGGTACATTTATGTAGCTAGTCCTAATTACATTTGATCAATGGTGTTAAATTTTTTTTAAATATGTAACAAATGTGAAGGTTTTTCTTGTTTTTACAGCTTTTTTGCTCCATAAAAGTATTCTGGTTTTTATCAGGACATATTATATGTATTAGAAATGAAAGTCAACACAGTGTGAGTTTAAATGGTTAAAAAAAAAAAACATTTAACCATTTGGACTTAAAGACCTTCTGTCAATATTCTGTCTAGAGGCTGGGTGCAGTGGCTCATGCCTGTAATCCAAGCAGTTTGGAAGGCTGAGGTAGGTGGATGGCTTGAGCCCAAAAATTTGAGACCAGCCTGGGCATCATAGCAAAACCCCATATAACACAAAAATATAAAAAATTAGCCAAGCATGGTGGTACACACCTGTGGTCCCAGCTACTCGGGAGGCTGAGGTGGGAGGATTGCTTGAGCCCAGGAGGTTGAGCCTGCAATGAGGCATGATTGCACCACTACACTCCAGCCTGGGTGACATTGTGAGACCTTGTCTCAAAAAAAAAAAAAAATCTATCTATCTATCTATATAGATAGATAGATAGATTTTTTTATAGGTAGATAGATTTTTTTTTTTTTCTGGAGCTAAATTGAAACCCAAGTAGCTTTGGGGGCTTGTTATCCATCTAATATACAAATTCTTCCTTCTATACCAAGTCATGTCTTGCCATAATAGAAGGTAGAACTTTTAAGGAGATAGGGTACCACATTATGGTGAATGAATATTTCTTTTGTGGTCAAAATCATCAAACATTTGTCTATATTTACTGCCCCTGAATTCTCTCCTTCAGTTCTCTTTTTAATCCAGCCAGGTTTTTGCATCACCATTCCATCCAAACTTCTCTTAATAGGATCACCAGTGACTTTCCTAATAAATTCAAGGGTCAGTTCTCAGTCTTTTTCTTACCTGCCCTATTGGTGGCATTTACCATAATCGATAACACCTCTTCTTTGATAGATACATTGTGTTTAGTTGGTTACGGGGCACTGACCTATTCCCCCACCAAGTTTCCTCTCACCTCACTGGTTACTCCTAAATTCTTGCTCATGTTCTATCCTTTCTCTACACTCAAACCCTTGGTACTCTCACCCAGTCCTGTTCTAAATACCATCTCCATGCCATAATTGACAAATTTTATTTCCGGTTCAGATCTGTCTCTGAAACTTAAGACTCATAATCCAGTATCCAATGGCATACTCCACATCTTCATTTGAATATTTTAATACTATTGCTAATCCAGCCTGTCCAAACTAAATTCATCTTTCCCTCAAAACATGTTCCTCTGCATTTTTTAGTTGCAGTAATTATCATTTTAGTTGCTGAGGCCAAAAACCTGGTAGTCATCTTTTACTGTGTTCTTCTTTTACTTTTTTTTTTTTTTTCTGAGGTGGAGTCTCGCTCTGTCGCCCAGGCTGGAGTGCAGTGGTGTGGTCTCGGGTCACTGCAACCTCTGCCTCCCGGGTTCAAGCAATTCTCCTGCATCAGCCTCCCAAGTAGCTGGGATTACAGGCGCCTGCCACCACACCTGGCTAATTTTTTGTATTTTTAGTAGAGACAGTGTTTCACCATGTTGGCCCGGCTGGTCTCGAACTACTGACTTCGTGATCTGCCCGCCTCGGCCTCCCAAAGTGCTGGGATTACAGGCATGAGTCACCACGCCTGGCCTCTTTTACTTTCATATCCAGTTCTTCAACAAATCTTATTAGCTTTACCTCCAGATTATATTCAGAATTCCTCTACTTCTCAGCATACCCACTACTCCACCCTGGTCAGAGGTACTATCTTTTTTGGACTGAATTATTGCAGTAACATTCTAACTGATCTCCTTGCTTCTATACTTGCCCTTCCCATCTATTTTTTCTTCTCAGTGGAGTGATTCTTTGAGTTATAAGTCAAATCATATTACTCTTACGAGTTTTTGTTTCACTCAGAGTAAAAGTCAAAATCCTTATAATGGCCTACAAAGCCCTTCATAAACTAATACCTCTGTACTCTTATCTTCACATTCCCTTCATTTTCTGCACTCTAGCCATACTGGCCTGTCTCCGGTTCCTTAAACACATCAGGAATATTTTTGCCTTAAGAACTTTGCTTTGGCTGTGCCTACTGCCTAGAATGCTCTTACCGCAGAAGTACATGGCTAATTCTTCCATCTCCTTTAAGTTGTTGCTTAAATGTCAGTGAAGGGTATTCTGTCTACCCTATGTAAAATTATAACCCGTACCCAATTTCCATTACCCTGCTCTACTTTTTCTTTTTTCCAAAGCTCTTATGCCTCTCTAATGTACATCATTTACATATTTAATATGTTTGGTTTTTAATTGTTTCACTTTCCCACTAGACGATAAGTTCTATCAAGGAAAGCAATGTCTATTTTGTTCATTGATATGTATATCCCAAGCATCTAGAATAGTGCTTGCAAATGATAGTAACTGAGTTAATATTTGTTGAATAATAAACGAATGGTAAATATTGGGAATAATTGTAATGTTTAGTTTAACCCTGAATATACCGTCAGGTTTATTGGACCCAATTTTAGTTTGAAAATTTTTTTTTATTTTGAGTGTTTCTAACTATTTGTAAGAATTGAGGCCAGGTGCAGTGGCTCATGCCTGTAATCCCAGCACTTTTGGAGACCAAGGCGGGTGAATCACTTAAGCCCAGGAGTTCAAGACCAGCCTGGGCAACGTAGCAAATCCCCATCTGTACAAAAAATACTAAAGTTAGCCAAGTGTGGTGGCATGTCGCAGTAGTACCAGCTACTTGGAGGGCTGAGATGGGAGGATTGTTTGCACCCGGGAGGCGGATGGAGGTTGCAGTGAGTTGAGATGGGGCTGTTGTACTCCAGCCAGAGCGACAGAGTGAGACTCTGTCTCCAAAAAAAAGGAATTGATAGTACATACTTTGATTCTTTCTTAAACGTCTTCCAAAGACTAGAGAAGAGTTTTACTTTTCTTCACAATAAAACTAATTCTGTTTCAGAATTACTGTGTGGGTACATTGGACCCTTTTATAAATCTAAGATACTTCATGGCCTCCTGCCATATCTTGAAAAACTATACTGTTTCATCATCCTAGGAATAATTTTATCATTACTTATTCATTATTTCCAGTTGTACTGAAAAAGACTAAATTATTAATTTTTTAAAAAAACAGAAGAATGATGAAATTGCCTAGAAGGATAATGCAGGAGTGACATGAATCATCACTGTTACATCATCCTTCACTTTTATTATTGTGCTGCCTAAAGTATTGCATTATCTTTCAAGAATGTGCAGTAGAAGTCTGGAGACACACTGTCTTTATAATCTTCTTTCACTTTCATTGAACAAGGCTGAGAATTCACAATTTTATATTTTCCACACAAAATGGCAAATAGGAAATTGACAAAACATGTTTTCACAATTTTTAGATGAATCAGAAGATGAATGCAAAGAAACACGTAGTCTAGGTACTAGAACCTAATGATGTAATGAACTTCATCTTTTAAGTAATTCTCAGACTACGATTTTTCAGTGGATATTGGTAGATGTTTTTTCTAAAACTCAAGAACTGATAAGTGAATGATGTATTTCTGTGTAAAAAAAAAAAGCAGAGTATTCTCATAGTTACTCATTCAACAGAACATTGTTCATCACACAATATATGACAGGAATCTGAATCATCCTGCTTTGATAAGGACATGTGATTTTTTTTATATTTTATGATATTTGTGCATCTAAATTTACTTCATCTGGTTTCTATCAAATGGGCAAATGCTGTAGACAGGTATATATGCAGGGGCGATTAGAAGGAAATAGATGATATAGAAATGAAAAATTTTTTTTCAATTGATCATTCTGATTGTTGCTTATGAATCTAAAAGTGAAAATGTTTTACAGTTTTTTTGTTTTTGTTTTTGTTTTTTTGAGATGGAATTTTGCTTTTTGAGATGGAGTTTTCTCTTGTTGCCCAGGCTGGAGTGCAATGGTGCAATCTTGGCTCACCGCAACCTTCACCTCCTGGGTTCCAGTGATTCTCCTGCCTCAGCCTCCCGAGTAGCTAGGATTACAGGCATGTGCCACCATACCCGGCTAATTTTGTATTTTTAGTAGAGACGTGGTTTCTCCATGTTGGTCAGGCTGGTCTCGAACTCCCGACCTCAGGTGATCCGCCTGCCTTGGCCTCCCAAACTGCTGGGATTACAGGCGTGAGCCACTGCGCCTGGCCATGTTTTACAGTTATTAAGCAAAGAAGAAATATATTTAAAATCTGATATGAGTATTTTTAAACAGATGTAATCTAGGTTCATGCATGATAATTGATGAGTAGTTGCATTCCACATGTTGCATATTTCAGGTATGTTTATGGAATAATATGCGTTTGCTGTCTTTATAGTCTCATTAAAATGTCTTATAAAATTATTTTTCATTATCTCTTTATTCTTCTATAAATTATGAAATGACTTAGTTTATTAAAAGGTCCCATTGGACCCAGATAGTGAATGGTGAAAACTATTTTTCCTAGTATAAAGGAGCAGGAATATAATGAAAAGGCACTAGAGATGTGAAGATGACTAAACTTGGAGAGATGAAGTACTGGTGGCTGGTAGGGTAGTAGGTAGACTTTTTAGGCCAAGTAAATGAAACAACTAAACTGCTATTAAATTCAGAAAAATTAAAATGTTGTGTAAGAAGAAAAATAATGTACTTCATTCACTACATAGTCATTATATAAATTGAATATAAATTTAACCTGAGGATGGAGGGAGAAGAAATTCAGATAGGGTGTTATAAGATAATTAAATCCTCTTTTATTATGAATTTAGAAATTAGATAGATAAATCCATTAAAAAAAAACAGAATGAACATGATTTAGAAATATTCAAGTAAATACCAAAAGAAATAGCAAGAGGTGTAAGTGGTTGCCTCTTGGGAATGGGAGCTGGCATAAGGAGGAGAGAACTGGTATTGTTTCTTACATGGTATTTTAGTATTTTTAGAGTTTTTAAAAACCATGTGTATTGCTTTGATAAAAATTAATAGTAAAATATGAAACTGGATTTAGAGAGAATCTCGCTGGTATGTATCAAATGAAATTGAAGGCACAGGGAAAACAGTCTTAGATCTCAGGTGATGAACAACTGTAATGACTGGAAGGGGGAACCAAAGTACTGGCTTGGAAAGACATTTTAAAGGAATATAATGTGGAATTTTAAGACCTATTCTGATTGGACAATGGGAGTGAAATATTAGGTTAAGATGCAAACAAACCTGTTTTGAGGCACTCATAACAATAGGGGAGAAGGTATTTATGCCCATTTCAAGTGGAGTTGGAATGGTAGGTTGTGCTTTGGATATGTTATAGCTTGCAATGAATGTAATATAAACATTTGTGATATATCCTGTAAACAGTTTGAAGTGTGAGCCTGAACATGTTTGATCTAAGGTCTGGAGGAAGATGTGAAGCAAATCTGACCTAAAAAAAATTATAGGAAAAAAGCAAATTGTTCTGGATTTGTTTCACCAAGGAACAAGTAAGCAGAGAACCAGACACTGGAGAAAAAAAGGAGTCAGGAAGTAGACAAGGAAATGTTAAAAGAAATAATAGGATAACTGAAAGAATGTAGCTTCCAGATTGCTAGCTATCAGCAGATAGATAGAAACTTTTATACAGCCTTTAAATCTTCCCTAGAAACCTTTTTAAAAGTAGCTTCTTGATTAGATTTAAATGGGTTTTATTTATGCTTGTCATTTTACAGATATTGTAAATATACATATGGTATATTTTCTTTTTGCCTTTTGTGGACAGTTGGAGGTGGGGAACAGGCATCCATAGTCAGTATATTTAAAGGAAGAAAAAACAACTTCCATAATCTTGTTATATTGACTGTTTCTGTTGATACATTTTCCCTTTCTTTCTTGTTTCTTAGTATGATTTGAGGGTCATTTTAAATTTCTGAATAAATATTTTGTAAGCCAGGTGGTTCACTGACTGAACGTTTGGGACAGAGGTAATGGGAGATGAGGCCTTCTCTCTCTCTCTCCATAGACAAAGGCCTTAATATGACTAATAACTTAGCGAAAGCTCTATATGACCCTCTGCTAAGCACCTGTATTTATTTCCTCTTTCTTCTTCCTCCTCTACCTCTAAAAAAAGAAATCCCCATTTCTTTTACACACATGTTAAAAATAAAAAATTGTTTCTGGTAAATTTAATATGATTTAAAATAAGATGAACATTTTGATGCTTTACTTGCAAATTCTGCTATTAAAATGTGTTTTATTTAAACTATTGCCACTTATACAGTGAAAAATTTTAATGACTAAAACAGTTTTGTGACCAATGTTATAATTGAAAAGTATAAATTTGAGAAAACCAAGACAGAAAAAGGGAGCAGTTTCAGAAGAATGTAAGTGAATAAAGTGGCTTAGCCCTCAGGGGATTTGAATGTGGCATTGTGTGTATTTCAAAAGTTTCCGTTGAAAACAGATGCTGCTGATGAAGTTGGGAATAGTAACTTCATCTGTGGCTGTTTCAGTTGCTTATTAGAAGTGAGAAAGATCCCAAGGGGTTTATCTGGTGTAGTGGAGTTAGGCTCAGGAAAGGATATGACATAAATATCTGGCAGCTTTGTCTGTGTGGTCTTTAATCCATAAACACTGGTTAGGTACAAGCATGATTATCTATAAACATGCAATTATCTTATTTCATGTGGATTCTGTTTCTACCACAGTGTTATTTCAGTAATGGCAGGGTTGTTTTTTGAAGTCCATTTTAATTCTTAAGAACTGGTTATTACAGAAATTGTAAGTTTTTTCCCTAAACAAAGAGAACTGTCTTACTGAATTTTTATTATATAATGATAGTTCATTAAATTATTTACTGGCTTATGTGCCCCAATTCAGAACAGTACTTATTCATACAGTTGTCCATATGAATGTTTCCTTTTTTGCTTTTTCTTTTCAATTTTATTTTCTGATATTATTCATAGTATTCAAGTTATTCTGATAACTGGATAGATAAAATAGATATGGTCTCAGTCCATAGAGCACTTTGATATAGAGAGGGAAATAAAATATTTATTGACATAGCCCTTAATACAGAGTTTAAAAGTGCCCAGGATCCTTGAAAATATAGATAAGATGCTTTCAGACTATGACTGAAGGAGAATTTACTTCTACTACTAGAGGGAATTCAAAGGAGATAGAAATGTTATTTAATTAATTAATTCAGTAAATATGAATACCTATGGTAACTAAGCAATCATGCTTTGATGTTTGGAAGATATAAAGATAGAAATTACACAGTTAAGTCCAGATATTACAAAGTTGTGAGTGATCATCACTGCTTTTGAAGGGGTACCAGATAAGACTTCAGTGGAGGTGAGTAGGGACTTGATGGCCATATCCCAATTCCAAGTGGATGAATTGGGGGTGAATTCAGGTGTTCCACAGAATAAATGTATAGGCATAGCTGCAGAGAACAACAGGAAACTGGGGAAATTATTAGGCATAGCTGGAACATTGGGACCAGGAAAATGAAGCAAGAGAAACAAGTAAAGGCCAAATCATGAAAGTAAAGGCCAAATCATGAAAGGCACATTGTATAGTATACAAAGGAATTTTATGTGTATCCTGTAGGCAGCAAGGGACCATTCAGGGCAGAATGTATTCACATTTATATTTTAGAAATTACTTAAGTAGCAGTGGAATGAAAAGCAGTGTGTGATAATAGAAATAGTCAGAAGATATTTCATAATCTGGGTAAGATATTAAGTGGTCCTGAGCTAAAATCGTGGCATTGAGGCTATTTTGGATACCCTATTTATAGTATTTGATATGAAAAGTGAGAGAGAACCTGAGTTGAGCTTTCTGGTTTGGAAAACAGACTATGGTGCAAGTCATTGAGATAGAAGACATACAAGGAAGGAAAGTAGGGGTTTTGTTTTTGTATCTTTAAGGAAGAGAAAATAATTCCATTTTAGTGAATATGAGTTTGAAATACCTGTGAGACATCCAAGAAAAGACATGGCTAGAGAAGCAAATTTGGTAGTTCTCACTATGGGCATATATGACATAATCTGGGAGAAAAGTTGTAGAAGAAAATGGGTAAAGTATGGAGTATACCAAGTAACTAGTGAAGAGGAAACCACAAAGGGGGACAAGAGATAGGAAAGCATTTTGTTCTATCAGCCAAGAGAATTGTAAATGCCTCCTAGAGGTCAAGTGAGAAAACTGCTGAATATTATCTATTTACTTTAGGTTGGTGCAAAAGTAGTTGTGGTTTTTGCCATTACTTTCAAAGGCATAAACCACAATTACTTTTGCACCAGCCTAAATACATTGATTTTGAGGAGCTGAGCCTTAAAAGATATTCAAAGTTTGCAATCATGAAAATTGTACTGGGTTGGGTGGAAAATTGGGCAAAAGGTAGACAGTGTTGGAGATCAAGGGAATGCCATGAACAAAAGTACAGAACTGGAAAAGCACATTACAGACATGACCTTTTGTTTTAAAATATTACAAATGTAAAAAAGATGTATAAAAAGAAGGTGTGGACAATAAGTTTTATGCTATTACTTTTATGGTATAACTGCCCAAATACTTAAGTTAACTGGTGGGAGAGTTATTTACAACCTTTTCTACTTTTCCTTTTTTCTTTTTTTTCCTTAACATTTCACTATGTTTTAGAGCATTGAAAGAATGCCATCTCAGATCAGGGAGAGTTTTGGTTTCATGATGCAAGTACAGGAATAGATATTGAGAAAGTCCAAAGTTTTGGTTCCTTAAGGATTACAGGTATATACCAGCTATTGTTTCTTTTTTTTTTTTTCCGAATCTCTAACCATGAGCTCACAGTCTATAATGTATAGGCACACAGATTATTTGGGGATAGAACAGTTGCTAACAGACCTACACACTTAGTTTTACTTACTTACTTTATTTATTTATCGCGAAGGTTGTCATGCGCTGTCATCCAGGCTGCTGGCACGCAGTGGCGGCAGTGGCACCATGTTGGCTTACTGCAGCCTCAACCTCCAGGGCTCAAGCCCTCCTCCCACCTCAGCCTCCATATTAGCTGGGACTATAGGCATGCACCACCATACCTGGCTAGTTTGTGTGTGTGTGTGTGTGTGTGTGTGTGTGTGTGTGTGTGTGTGTGTTTCGTAGAGATGAGGTCTCACTATGTTACCTAAGCTAGGCTCAAACAGTCCTCCCACCTTGGCCTCCCAAAGTATTGGAATTGCAGGAGTCAGCCACTGCATCTGGCCCACACTTGTTTTAGAAGCTATCTTACATATAGGAGACTGTTTTAGTGATGTAATCATCATAAATTAATTTGTTATAGGCAGAATTCAGTATTGCTTTTTAAATAGCTCATTTTCCCAAATAATATATACTTTTTGTCCTTTTTAAAAGCTTGTTGTTAATTAAATTAGCCTTCTATTGTTAAAAATTCAATTATCATGGTTATTTATTTAACACAGTCATGCTTTTTAGGTAGCATTAGATAGCACATATTATTCTACTATATGGTAAATTCTTTGAGGGCAAGCACCATGTCTAAGACATCTTTCTGTCTCCAAAAATGTCTTTTACATGAGAGAGATTCAGTAAATATTTATTGAAAATTAACTTGACACTATTAAATGGAAACTTTTTAAGGAAAGTTGCATTTACATTCTTAAATCACCATTAGTGGCAAATTCACCATTGATTTGTGGAATATTAAATTCTAGTTCATTGTATGCTGAATCATACATACCTACCTTTTGGTGAAATATAATAATGAGTTTTACAATTTTAGATGTAACAAATTAGGATATCTGGAAAATGTAAGGCATCTATGGCTTCCTTATAAGAAGGAGCTATATGGAAATTAGGCTGAGGAAATGATTCTTAGTCTCTGGCACCTGCGGTGTAGATAACCAACTGGATATGCTGAACTGAGCCCTCTGTCTCAATAATCTTTGGTGATCTTTGGAAATACATTTTACTAGCTACTACCTTCTGTCAGATTGTCCCTAAAGGTCATGATAACCAGCTCTGTAATTATCTGTAGCTACTCTCTTAGTAAAGGAATGACGATCTTCAGCTCTTCTAACACAGCCAAATGTAAGCAGACTAAGTATAACTAAAGCTTGGGGTGAACTAGCTTCTATCTTTCAGAAATCCAGCCCATATTCTTCCCCAGAACGTTTGAAATGTGAATGCAGTCTGATATCAGTAAATAGCTAAATTACCACTGCATCTCCAACAAAATACAAGTCGCCCTTTTTTGCCCTATGTTGGAAAGCACACACATAAAAAAGTGAACATTAGTGTAAGCATAATGGACAGGGTTGCTTTGAAGACTAAATGATGTTTAAAGCAATTTATAGCCCTGGATCACCATGCACATATAAAGATGTTTCTCATAACTACTATGCAGTAATTGTCTGTATGTGTAATAAAGATAGCAGAATAGTTCCACAAATGGGGGCAAAGTGTAAAAAAATAGACTGTAGGTTATGGGTCACCCCCATGACCTAGTCACCTCTGACCAGGCCCAACCTCCAACATTGGGGATTACAATTCAACATGAGATTCGGCCAGGACATATATTCAAACTATATCAATATCATCACCAGATGAATAGCTAAACAAATTGTTATATCCATACAATGGAATACTGCTTGATTATAAAAAAATGAACAAATTGCTAATACCCAACAACAGGGATGAATCTTAAAAATATTCAGGAGGAAATGAGACAGACACAAAATAGTACATAACGTATAATTCCATATATGTGAGGTCCTGGAAGGGGCAAAACAAATCTATCGTGAGAGAAGGCAAATCAGTGGTTGCCTCAGGTGGGGGATTGACTGCACATGTGCACAAAGTAACATTTTGGGATGATGGAAATGTTCTACATTTGATTTTTATAGTGATTACCCAGGTGTATACATTTGCCAAATTGAATCCTACTGTATTTTTACATAGGTACATTTTATTACATGTAAGTTACACCTCATTAGTTTCCTTTACGGCCCTGCCTTCTGTAACTTTTTTCCTTCTCTCCCTAAAATTGAGGTATTATCCATTCTTCTGAATTTACCATAGCATTTGTTTGGCCTTCTCTTACTCTTTCTTTCTCCTTTCGTTTGTCACCTTGTCCTCTACTAAGGCTATAAGCTCTTTACATCTTTCTTTACCCTCTAGCACCTTGCTCATTTAATCTTCCAATAGATGTTTGTTAAACGGAGTTGATTTCATACAAAGAAAGAATTACCAGCTACTGCTTTGATCACGGCTCTGAAATTTGAACAGAATCACAATCCCAGTTATCAGCAAGAACAACCCTATAAAAGCAGCTATGGGTTGATGACAGGCATTCTTAGGGCAGTCTTAATTTTACAATTCAGGGCAGTCCCATTTAACATTCTATGGCATTGGGTGGTGGACACATGGAAGATGAGTGTTCCTGGGCCGTATGGAAAGTCCTCTTTAAGGCGAATTACCTTGTGCTAGTTGCAAAGGTCTGGAAGATTTAATTCAGGTAAATTACACAACGTGACAATGTATATAATTCCAGTAATGAGAGAAAATTAGAATCAGAAATTCAGTACTAGAAGGTGCCACCATGGATGCCATTTATTCTAACCCATTGTCATACAGACCCAGAGATCTTAAGTATCCTGCCCAACACCACACAGCAAATTAGCGGCACAGTTAACTCTAGAAGCCAGATTTCTATCAAGTACCATACCCAGAATTTAACAAGTTGGAGAATTTGCTGTTTGTGGAAGTTCTGAGGAGTTGCCCTAGACAAAGCTTTCCTTGGGGTGAGATTTTGAGTTTAGACACAATAGGTAAAGATCAAGGGCAGGAAGCTGCTGTCATTACTAGGTTCAAATCAAAACTGGAACCTTGGAGCCATGGCAGGGACAAGAATTGCCTTATGTGTTCCTGGTGATGTCTTTGCTTCATATACCACTTGAGAAATACTGACTTGATCTATTGTTGAAACTTAGTTTGTATACTTGTTGATGAATTTTCTATAGTAAGAATATGAATATGCTATAACTTTTTGAGGAGTTGTTAGTACAGTTGACCCTTAAACAACACGGGTTCGAACTTCATAGGTCTGCCTATAAGCAGCTTTTTCTCAACCAAAAATGGATTGAAAATACAGTTTTCATAGGCTGTGAAACCCACGTATATAGAGGGCCAACTTTTTATATGTGCAGGTTCCACAGGGCTGACGGGAACTTGAGTGTGCAAGGATTTGGTTCTACCAGGGTAGTCTTGGAACCAATCCCTCATATATACTGAGGGACAACTGTACACAAGAATATTTTTGAATCCCACAGGATTGTTAAAACAATCTGAATAGAGTCGATCTCCCTCCTTCAAACCTTCCTTTTTTACTGTTTTCTGTTTATGTGTAAATTTGGAGAGTGGTAACAGTTGCCATTTTGCATTTCATTGGTTTTATATTTCATTTTTTAAGAACAATTTTAAGTCAGTCTTATAGTTAACATAATTTCAAGTGGTCATTTTGAATTTTAATGATGAAAGACATTGAGATACAAAAAGCAGCTTTGAAAGTTGTAGCAAAGCATGCTTCATACATGGATCCTTTGAATGAAAGAATAATAGCATGGATGGTTGATGAAGGAATAGAAGCTGCTGCTATTTAATGTATTCTTCACTCTCAGTACATGGATACAGCCTCCAAATGTTACAAAGAAAATAATCATCAGCACAGCATCTCTGCATACCTGTGGATTGGTCTTTTTGTAAAGCAGCCTCATGGTTTTCTTAGAAAAGTTTTTTATTTAAAAATATATCTCTAGACACTTACTCCTGGTAGGCCTGGGAAAATGTAGATTACTTCATGTCTCTTCAAAAGCCTTTCAAAGAAACAAGTCAAGCTTGATTTGTGTTTTTGAGATAGAGGAAAGTAGTAAGGTAGGAGGACAGAGGAAATCTTAGCTTTAAAGGGAGAAAAAGATCTTTCAGTCCTTTTGTCAACACTTTAGTTTCTGCATTAGTCATAGGTCCCTTCCCCCTTGGCCATGGGTGGACCAAAGGAATAGCAGCCATTTGCACGTTTGTGAAAGGACAGTGGAAAGAAAAGAAAATAGCTGATACAAGAAAATGTGGGAGATTATTTCCCCCACTAGGTTTTTACAGTTGTATTTTTAGATTAATCAGTGGTTTCTGGATATTTGGCCTCCTTTTTTTTCTTTTATTTTGCTGTTTTTGATGTTATAAAATACAGTGCTAAGAACCTAACCCTATTAGTGAGATATTATTCAGAGTCTAATTTTTTTATTGTTATAATGAAAGTCATGTAGAATGCAAAGCTAGTGGACACAGTTAATACTCATATTTGGTAGAAATACTTTTCCTCTACCAAGCTGAGTTCAAATTGTGGGCCTGCAAGTTAACTGATACTGGACAGGTTAACTGGAGAAAAGATAAGGTTTATTCACACTTGAAGGAGCACTCAATATCAGTAACTCTGAAGAAGAGTTTAGAGGGTTATAGAAGTAAGGGGTTATGCCTCTTGCTGTGGCACACCACAGATGCCAGCACTTTGGGAGGCTGAAGTGGGTGGATCTCTTGAGCTCAGGAGTTTGAGACCAGCCTGGGTGACATGGTGAAACCCTGTCTCTACCAAAAAAATTATAAAAATTAGCCTAGCGTGGTGGCAAGTTCCTGTAGTCCCAGCTACTCAGGAGGCTGATGTGGGAGGATTGCTTAAGCCTGGGAGGCGGAGGTTGCAGTGAGCCAAAATGGTACCACTGTACTCCAGTCTTGGCAACAGAGCAAGACCCTGTCTCCAAAAAAAACAAGAAGTAAGGGGCTATATACCAACTTAACAAGAGGGGGTAGCTTAGGGAGTCAAAGGACAGAAAGATCTCATTTACACAATTTTTTTGTTATGTCTCAGTGCCCAGTGTCAGTCATCTCCCTCCTGTGGATCCTCCTGGAGGTGTGAGAGGGTTGTGACAGCTGCCTCAGTAAAGCTCTGCTTTAGTCAGATAAAAGAAGTTAAGATTTCATTCTGCATCTGCTGTTGTATTTTTGGGCCCTTCACTGATTTTTTTTTGTTTTAATATTTGTATGTAGTCTGATGCTTTTCAATGTATTTTCACATACCTCATTTTATTCTCACAGGACTTTTTAGGCAGACAGGGAAAATACTATTATCCCATTTCACAGGTCAGAAAACTGAGACTCAGAGAGGTTAAGTATTTGTCCAGGGCCACATAATTAATAACAGAGCCAAAATAGGAATTTCAGGTATTCAACATTTCTCAGTGTACCTTTGGGGTCCAATTTGAGTACTCATAAATTGTGTAATCTATTGTCAATCTATAAGTCCTTTAAAAGTGCCACGGTTAAGTAATAATTTATTTGTTTTGTAGGAGAAGATGGTATAAACTGGTCCATCAGTGACAAAGACATTGAGGTAAAATCAAATTGTTTTTAAAATTCAGAATAATAATTTCCTTTGCTTCATAGTTTATTATGATAACTTTTGGAACATTAATAAGTTTAAGTGGCTTATAAGAAAACATTTGATTTTAGCATATGAGTGATTTAACTCTTCAGAAACTTGGTTCAGCCTTGAGTTTTGTCAGTGAGTTAATAGCTGTAATCATCCAGTCCCCTTTCCCTTTCTGTTTCTCTCCTGCGGTGAGTCCTCTCAGCCCATATGGCCTGGTACCACTAAAAAGATCAACACCGGAAATAACTGCTTCTTCAGTGTAAGGAAATGGTTAGTCTATTTTTAGGATGTGGCAGGTGTTTGTCTTTGTCGATTATTAGCCTTAATTGTGGCAGATGCTACAAAAAGAGAATAATTTTATAACTTGGTTTTGGGAGATAGCTAGATTGTACTTACATGTGGTCCACTTGGCCAGTTCAGCAAAATAACAAATAAAAGATGAAAACTTTTTTAAAGATGGAATTCTACCAAACAAGCTAAAGCATGGTTGGGATTTACAGTTCCTCTTTAGATATTCCATATGATATGCATTGTTGGTACTCTCTTACAAGATCCTAGATTTAGATTAGAATATGGGACAGTTAGAATTGGGTCACTCTGTAGGCAGAATGGATCTTAAAAGGATTCCAGTGGAAAGAAATTATCTCATTCCTTTATTTCTATAAAGGAAGACTGGATTATCAGTCTTTTATTATCATCCAGTCTTGTAGGCAGTAACCCTGTGCTGTTCAAAAGAATGGATATATTGGGTAGCTGTACTAACTTTACAAAAGACAAAGTCATAAAAACACCATTCCCTAACTCAAAATTTAAGTAGCCCTCCCATTCAGAAAAACATGGTGTACATTCAGTTATAGAAATCAGCAGTGGCTGGCCGGGCGTGGTGGCTCACACCTGTAATCCCAACACTTTGGGAGGCTGAGGTGGGTGGATCACCTGAGGTCAGGAGTTCGAAATCAGACTGGGCAACATGGCGAAACTCCTTCTCTACTGAAAATACAAAAATTAGCCAGGTGTGGTGGCGGGCGCCTGTAGTCCCAGCTACTCGGAAGGCTGAGGCAGGAGAATCGCTTGAACCCAGGGAGGTAGAGGTTGCAGTGAGTCGAGATCACGCCACTTCACTCCAGCCTGGGCAAAAGAGTGAAACTCCGTCTCAAAAAAAAAAAAAGAAAGAAAGAAAAGAAGTCAGCAGTGGCTTTGACTGAATGCTACCGCGGTGTCTAAGTGATGCATGTCAGTACCCCTGCTCGATCTGAAACATAAGTAGAGAAAGATTAAAAAAAAAAAATCACATGGAGAAGTATAAAAGACTCAGCAGGCGGGAGGGGCAGACAAAAAGCAGTAGAGTTACCTTTATGGCACCTCCTTTTATGTTTTTCTACCTCTTTTTTTTTTTTTTTTTTTTTTTTTGAGATGAAGTTTCACTCTTGTTGCCCAGGCTGGAGTACAATGGCACAATCTCGGCTCACCACATCCTCCGCCTCCCAGGCGCAAGCGATTCTCCTGCCTCAGCCTCCCAAGTAGCTGGGATTACAGACCTGCGCCACCACGCCCAGCTAGTTTTGTATTTTTAGTAGAGATGGGGTTTCTCCATGTTGGTCAGGCTGGTTTTGAACTCCCGACCTCGGGTGATCCGCCCACCTCGGCCTCCGAAAGTGCTGGGATTACAGGCATGAGCCACCACGCCCAACCTCTACCTCTTTTTAAGAGAACAAGAGAGATCATAAAGTTCCCCTGTGGCTAGGTTCTAAGTTGAACAGATATAACTAATAATTCTCTTGCTTTATCAAGGTAATGGAACTGACTTGAAGCTTGATGTATCTTTATTTGCTTATAGTTGTCTTTAACAAGAGTAGTAGATGGCTTTTATTTAGCAGTGAAACAATTTTTTTAATTCTTGATTTTTTTTTCCCTTAGGCCCAGATAGCTAATAACCGAACACCTGGAAGATGGACCCAGCGGTACTATTCAGCCAACAAAAACATTATCTGTAGAAATTGTGACAAACGTGGTCATTTATCAAAAAACTGCCCCTTACCACGAGTACGTGAAATATGCTTTGCTTCTTTCCACATTTGTAAACTCAAAATCTCAAGGGTGAGGCTGGGCACGGTGGCTCATGCCTGTAATCCCAGCACTTTGGGAAGCCGAGGCAGGTGGATCATGAGGTCAGGAGATTGAGACCATCCTAGCTAACATGGTGAAAAACCCCGTCTCTACCAAAAATATACAAAAAATTAGCCGGGCGTGATGGCGGGCGCCTGTAGTCCCAGCTACTTGGGAGGCTGAGGCAGGAGAATGGTGTGAACCCGGGAGATGGAGCTTGCGGTAACAGAGATCACACCATTGCACTCCAGCCTGGGTGACAAAGTGAAACTCTGTCTCAGAAAAAAAAAAAAAATCTCAAGTGTGAAACCCTATAACCTTAGAATTCAAATCTTTTTATAGTATGTGTGTTAAATTTCATGTAGCTTACAGCCTAGTGTCGGAGAAATAATAATAAATTTGGAGTCAGAAAAATGTGGAATCAATTTTAACTTATCATTACTAGTTGTATGGGCAAATCATTTAACCCTCTGTGCTTCTTGTTTTCTTGTCTATAAAATGAAAAGATTGAATCAGATGATTCCTGAGACCCCTTTCACTTCTAAACCTTGTACTTCATAAGATAGCTTATTTCAATGTGAGATAATTTTTATCGTTAGAAAATTATAATTTGGGGCATTTTTAAATGTTTATTAATGTAAGTTACGTTAAGCAGGTACATCAACCTTTGGAACAACACAGAACTGAAGATCTTAGACGTTTCCTGACCAGATAATTAGCTCTTAACAAACATTTCTTCCATTTCTCCTTCCTCTTCCAAATGACTGCTTTTCAAATAGTTCAGACACCTCTTATGCTCCTTTTTTGTTCTTGCTTCTCCAGTCAAAACAGCTTCTTCTGTATCTGTTCCTCCTATGACTTAGCTTCTAGATATCCTCCTCATTCTACTTTCCCTCTTACATACCTTTCATTTTGTCAATATTCCTATAAGAAGAGGCATAAGGAATATATGCCAGCTGCTAGTATGTACAGACTAAGCCTTTTTGGCAAACAATATACATACAGTGTTTTGGACATTTTGTTTGATTTTTACAGTTGTGCTCAGGATTCTACCTTTATTGGGATCTCAAATTAGAAAAGATTTTTTTATGGGATTATATTGAAAAACAAATACTAATCTTCTACCTTTTGAGACTGAAGAGATTTTATGTTTTTTTCGCCACATAGAAAGTTCGTCGCTGCTTCCTGTGCTCCAGGAGAGGACATCTCCTGTATTCCTGTCCAGCCCCCCTTTGCGAATACTGTCCTGTGCCTAAGATGTTGGACCACTCATGTCTTTTCAGACATTCCTGGGATAAACAGTGTGACCGATGTCATATGCTAGGCCACTATACAGATGTGAGTATCCTGCATATAACTAATTTGTCAGGCTTTGGAGGGAGTGTGCAAGTTTGTAATTAATGTGCAAGTTTATAACTATCAGTCAGCATACCTAAAGGAATGTTTACTCCGTGAGATATATATATATATATATAGTCATGTCCATTTTGTCACTGAACATGTATATAAAGCAGTGCTCTAAATAATATAGGGGTAAGGAGCCTACTGAATCAGAAGACAGCATCAAGAGATAGCATTAATAAATATTTTAAGCCCATTCTAGCCCTTTTTCTTTATAAGCTTGTTAAATAAAGGCTGAATTTAAAGAGGTAATAAATAACATGTAAAATTTGTGTATTCATATTTATTTATTTATTTATTTATTTTTTGAGACATAGTCTCACTCTGTCACCCAGGCTGGAGTGCGGTGGTGCAATCTCGGCTCATTGCAACTTCTGCCTCCCGGGTTCCAGCGATTCTCCTGCCTCAGCCTCCCGAGTAGCTGGGGCTACAGGAGCATGCCAACACTCCTGGCTAATTTTTGTATTTTTAGTAGAGACGGGGGTTTCACCATGTTGGCCATGCTGGTCTCGAACTCCTGACCTTAGGTGATCTGCCCGCCTCAGCCTCCTAAAGTGCTGGGATTGCAGGCGTGAGCCACTGCACCTGGCCTATTTGTGCATATTTAAATGAAAATATATGCACAATTAGCAGTTATATACAGATGTTTAATGGAAGCCTATTTTGATGCTTCTTTTTTTATTTTTATTTTATTTATTTATTTTTTGAGATGGAGTCTCGCTCTGTTGCCCAGGCTGGAGTGCAGTGGCGTGATCTCAGCTAACTGCAACCTCCAACTCCTGGGTTCAAGCGATTCTCCTGCCTCAGCCTCCCGAGTAGCTGGGATTACAGGCACGTGCCACCACACCTGGCTAATTTTTTATTTTTAGTAGATACGGGGTTTCACCACGTTGGCCAGGATGGTCTCGATCTCCTGACCTCATGATCCGCCCGCCTCGGCCTCCCAAAGTGCTGGGATTACAGGCATGAGCCACTGTACCCGACCTTTTTTTTTTTTTTTTTTTTTTTTTTTTTTTTTTTTTTTTTTGGAGACAGGGTCTCGCTCTGTCACGGTGGCTAGAGTGCAGTGGCATGATCTTGGCTCACTGCAACCTCTGCCTCCCAGGTTCAAGTGATTCTCCTGCCTCAGCCTCCCAAGTAGCTGGGATTACAGGCGCCCACCACCATGCCTGGCTAATTTTTGTATATTTAGTAGACAGCAGGGTTTCACCATGGTCAAGCTGGTCTCGAACTCCTGACCTCAGGTGATCCACCCATTTCAGCCTCCCAAAGTGCTAGGATTACAGGTGTGAGCCACCACACCTGGCCTGATTCTTCTTATCAATGATTTTGCTGGTCTAATAGTCTAAGGAAAGAAGGACAAGGCAGCCATTACTTTAAATTGCAGCATATTAAAAATGCTGTTTTGGACACTATTTGCATTGTATTGTTGTAAATGTATATGGAGTTTAGTCATAATTTCAAAGACCAGAGGGCTGTTGAAATAAGCAAATACAGCTTTGATGTGGAATATGTAGTTTTCTACATTCAGTTTACCCTAATTCCTAATGAGTGTCTCATTAAGAGTCTTTCATTTTAGGTCTTAATTGCGTTTCTTACTACATAGTAACATATGTTTATTTTATATTAACAGCTAATCAGTACAAAGTCATTTTTCATCCTCATACCTAAGTGGCAATTCTAATTGATTTAAGGGGTATTTATGAAAGGGGTGTCTCTCATTCTCTTTTTTAAAGCATTACTTACCTATTTTTTAAAATAATAAAAGTACTTTAATATGTACTTCCCCAAAGTCATGATACGAAAGCAGAAATATTTTTCTAATTTTATTTATATTGAAATACACCTATAGTCTTTTTTCTTACAGCCCTTTTTAATGCATGTCTGAAATACACCTATAATCTTTTGCTCAATAAATTAGTATGGCTTTCTGTTGAAATGAATTTCAGATTAAAACAGATTAGAGTATGAGTGTTTGGTATATATATGTATTTCTCATGTAAATAACATGACAATTATTTATTGTAATTCCACCAGCAAATTTATACTTAAATTGTTACCCATTTTTTAAACAAACAGTGGTGCATTTAATAATGTTTTGGTAAGTCATATTTTATAAATGGAATTGTGAAATTAAAAGACGTACACTTATGTCTGGATAAGTATTGTCAAATTGCTCTTCTAAAAGATTGTACCAATGTATCTACCTACCAGCAGTGTTAAGAGAAATGAGCACTGCACTCATCAACATTAAGTATTATCAGTCTTTAAAATTTTTGGCTGGTCAGACCAAAAAATGATATTTTATTGTTTTAATTTGTATTTCTTTGGTTATTAATAAAGTGGTATATGGTTAATTAATTTGAATACTCTATTCTCAAGGCTATATAGATAGAAGTTGTCATTTCATTCCAAAGTACTTTAGTCTTATTTTTTAGTGTTTACCAAGTCTTAAAAATGATAAATCCTGAATTGTCCTAGCATTATGTTGTTGTCTGCATTAAGTTGTCAATTATAATTTTCTTAGCAAGATTTTCTAGTTTGGCAGTTATCTTTAATAGCATCTGTTTTTTTTTTACTGTTTTCTTCCAAAGAGCTCTGACAAATATGGTCTTATTTGCCTGTGATAAAGAAGGGGAGTAAGACATTATCATAGGCAATTTTTTAAAAACAAGAAACTGTACTACAGAACAGTTAAAAATTACTTGTAAAAGGTTATATAATCATCTGTGTTAATTCTATAGGCCATTCCTCTTAACTTCTTGATTTTGGCCTCTAATATATGTTAAATTATTATCTAAAATGAGAATTAATAATCCCAATGAATGTAGGTTTTTTTAAATAAGATTAAAATCATGGTATGCTCCTGTAATATCAGCTGCTCAGGAGGCTAATGCAGGAGGATCTCTTAATCCCAGGAGTTTAAAACCTGGTGGCTCACACTTGTAATCCTAGCACTTTGGGAGGCCGAGGCAGGTGGATCACGAGGTCAAGAGATCGAGACCATCCTGGCCAGCATGGTGTGAAACCCAGTCTTTACTAAAAATACAAAAATTAGCTGGGCGTGGTGGTACACACCTGTAGTCCCAGCTACTCAGGAGGCTGAAGCAGGAGAATCGCTTGAACCTGGGAGGCAGAGGTTGCAGTGAGCCAAGATCATGCCACTGCACTCCAGCCTGGCAACAGAGTGAAAGTCTGTATCCAAAAAAAAAAAAAAAAACAGCCTGGGCAACATAGTGAGAGCCTATCTCAAAAAATAAAATAAAATAGGGTTGGGCTGTGACCAGCTTCAGAGAAGGCAGTACTCTTTTCCCCAAATCTACCAGTATCTACTATATTTGTTGTAATTACATGGCGAAGGTTCTGGAAGCTGGTCTTTGTAGCCTACACACCTGGTGTAGGATTCCCTCGCAGCCCAGTCAAGCCTGGGCTCTACTGACTCCTTGTGGCAAGGCTCATAGTCCTTCCACCACCCCAGAAACTTCATGAGAATTCACATGGAAGCCGAGTCATTCTGGCCCCATGTTGTTGGAACTGTACATGCTTTAGGTCTGTCTTGAAACCTGGGCCTCCACAGAAAATTTGTTTCCTCTGCAGCCCTATCAAATGCTTGCTGCTCATCTTCCGTGACCCTGAATCTTAAGAGATGATATCAGCCTCTTTCTCACATGCCATGGCTGCTTTTAAGTCATTACTCAACCCTTTTTATGTAAATACCTTTGGCTTATTTAAGGCTTATACCCTCTAGCAATACTATCCTCTACCATTCTTTGTCATTTTCATCTTCCCACCTACTGGACTTTCTGCTCATTCACAGAGGATTTCTAACCTTTTATAAATTGACGATATTGAGAAACTTCCAAGGCTGGGCGTGGTGGCTCATGCCTGTTACCCAGCACTTTGGGAGGCCGAGGTAGGCAGATCACTTGAGGCCACAAGTTTGAGGCCAGCCTGGCCAACACAGCAAAACCCCATCCCTACTAAAAGTACAAAAGTTAGCTGAGTGTGGTGGTGCACACCTGTAATTCCAACTACTGGGAAGGCTGAGGCATGAGAATTGCTAGAACCCAGGACGCAGAGGTTTCAGTGAGCCGAGATTGCACCACTGAACTCCAGCCTGGGCAACAGAGTGAGACTGTTTCCAAAAAAAAAAAAAAAAATGAAAGAAACTTGCCCTTTTACTTTATATATTCCCATAGTCACACACCTAGACCTCTGTTTGGCCAGATTACCAGATATATGTATGCAAAGAGAATTTGTAGTGAAAACTGTCGAGTCATATTCAAATCCTTTCTGTAATGAAAAGCTTTTTCCTAAAATCTGTTGGAAATTGCTCATTGGTTAACTACTTCTGTAAAAGTATTTGGTTGAAATTCCAGAGTTTTATGAGGTGAAGGATAAAAAGATGGCTCAAGGCCTACTAAAGTCAACCTGCATCATTAGTCCCTTTCAGAAGACAAGAACCTGGATTATGGAAAGAATCCTGTTTCTGAATCTGCTATAGTTTCTCTCCTCACTTGCCAACAATTTTTAAATATACAGAGAATTTTTAAATGTCTGTATACCTTTAGCTTGCACACAGAAACCTATTCTGTGAGCTATCTCTGACATTTCCAAGATAACAACAGCCATACATAATTGTGTGTTTACTGTGCTGGAGGAGTGCTTCATTCACCACTATGCCCTTAGCATATAGTAGGTGTTCAGTAGATTTAATCCTCATAAGCAGGATATGAAGTGTAGGTACTATTTATTACTCCTATTTTACAAACTGAAAACTGAGACATTACAAGGTTAATAAGTCTAAGGTCTAAAAGCTAAAATGATGCTATACTTTATGACTATGTGGAGAAAGCTTACATATTGGCAATCAAGGAATCATCAGTTTATCTCCTACTCGGAGGATCTCTCAACTTTCTTTCTTAAATATGCAGATATTATAGCTCTAATAAGCAACTTTAATATAACACTCATGACATTGGGGCAACATAGTGAGACTCCCACTCTTTACCAAAAAAAAAATTTAAAAATTAGCCAGGCAGGGTGGCACGCACCTGTAGTCCCAGCTACTCGGGAGGCTGAGATGGGAGGATTGCTTGAGCCCAGGAGATCAAGGCTGCAGTGAGCTGTGATCACATCACTGCACTCCAGCCTGGGTGACAGTGTAAGACTCTCTCTTTTTAAAAAAAAAAAAAAAAAAAAATCAATATATTATAAAACACATAAAGAAAAATATTTTCCAAACAAAAATAAATTTTACCTTAGGTTGTCAGCACTTTAAAAAACCCCTGGGGATCAAGAAAGCAGTATAGAATGTTGATTTTCAGATACAGAGCCAATTCTGTGATACCATAGAGCTTTACTGCTCACAAGAGACCATTGCAGCTTCAGCAATCTTTATTAATTGTTCAGATTGCCATCCTTTTTTATTAAAGCATAATGACTGAGTTAGTCAGTGTCAGATATAATCAAAACCCAAACCTCCTAAATTTCCTACCTTTATTCAGCAATTTTTTTCTCAAATTCCCTGCTCAGTGTGTTATCCCAGTCCATGCTAAATAACTGTTAAAGTCTGATTTTTTAATACAGTGGGAGAAAATAATTCATAGAACATATTTCACTTGATTCCTTTATTTATTTATTTTTATTTTTATCTTTGAAACAGAGTCTCACTCTGCCGCCCAGGGTGCAGAGGTGTGATCTCGGCTCACTGCAACCTCTGCCTCCCAGATTCGAGCAATTCTGCCTCAGCCTCCCAAGTAGCTGGGATTACAGGCATGAGCCACAACACCTGGCCAATTTTTGTATTTTTAGTAGAGGTGTGGTTTCACTATGTTGGCCAGGCTGATGTCGAACTCCTGACCTCAGGTGATCTGCCCGCCTTGGCCTCCCAAAGCGCTGGGGTTAACAGGCGTGAGCTACTGCGCCCGGCCTTTTTACTTTTTTGATGCTAGAAAAATGCTCCCATATCAGCCATATACTACAATATTTTTCACAGTGCAAAAGTTTATTTTAAGGAGAACTCAGTTTAAACTGTGTAGTATTTAACATACACGTGAGTGCTCAATGATGTTTCTTCAATAAATATATATGTAAAATTGAAAACTAATGTCTTTTATTTAGATTTTTATTAAACTTGGAGATTTCCAGCAGGAAATACAAAGCATCTAGTACAAATCATTTCATACTTGTCAAATCCAGAATGGAGAGTTACTAGAGCATTATTTTTGTAAAGGTAATTATTTAAGAAACAGGTATTTATTTTATTTTTAGTGTACTCCAAGGAGCACTGAGTAGTATTCATATGATTTCCTCCCCTTATCCTTTCCACAGTCTTACTCAGATATGACTGGCCAGAAATAAGAATGGCTGAAACATATTATTGTGCTGAATAACTAAGCCAAGATTTGAATTTAAAGACTTGCTTAATTCACATATTTTGTGTAATGGCGGTTCTACCTTTATTCAAAAACATCTCCAGTGTTCTACCACCCAAATAAACTTTCTACATTTGTTCATTTAGCAAAAATTTGCTGGTTGCCTCTTATATGCCAGACAGTATTCCAAGTACTAGGGGAAAAAAAGATGAATAAAACATGATCCCTGCCCTTGAGGAACTCAGAGTATAATAGGAAAGGTGGGTGTGTTAAGAACAGTGTAAAGTGTAATGTGAAAGTACATCAGGGTGGTGATAAATAAAAGAGTCTTAGAAGACTCTAAACTTAGTGACTTGCAGATGATGCATACCTAGAAAATGTAGAAAGTGTGACGTAGACCTAAGAAGGGAGCCAAGTAACTGTGTCTTTTTATTTTGACATGATTATAGATTCACATGCAGTTTTAAGAAATAATATAGAGGGCTGGGCGCAGTGGCTCATGCCAGTAACCACAACCCAGCCCTTTGGGAGGCCAAATCTGGAGGACTGCCTGAGGCCAGGAGTTAGAGACCAGCCTATGCAATATAGTGAGACCCTATATCTACAAAAAACATTTTTTTAAGAAATGATAAAATTAAGATTCAGATAGCAAATAATCATGAACAAGCTAATTTCCCTGCTCAACTTATTTGAAGAGAAACCACTGATATATTCAAATCTACTTAATGAAAATGAGAATGCATAAATAAGAATAAATAATTAAAATTAAAATGCCGCCTCCCCAACAAAGTAACTTAGATGTGTAAAATCACGATGTGAGGAAGGAATGAAGGGGAAAAGAAAAACTCATCTCTGAAAAAACTAAAACACTAGAATTATATTATCGTGATAGATTGGTATGTACTTTCAGATAAATATGTAGTTCTGCTGACAGTGTGCATTACACCTACCTTTGGAAATAGGAAAATCAGACTTTGGTTAGATATATGTACTTTGTTCCACCCACTTTTCTCAACATTTTAATGTTATTTATAGGTAATATTGGAGCAAGAGGGCAGGCTGCAATTGATTGATTGTCTTACAAAATTGTTGTATAGGCTTACCAAATGTTTATTTAACTGAGAGATCAGACTACTTCAAGAAAGTTAAGTTGATTTCTATACTTGAAGGTCTCCTCCTGTCTTCTTGATGTACACAAAACTCACGATAATGTTAGTGAAAATCGCATACATGTTCATTGTTCAGGGAGTAAATCCCAAAATCAGGAATTAATAATTTATTGGAACTGTTACCAAGCCACCTAATAAATGAATATCTGAAATTTTCATGGTTGCAAATGTATGTGACCTTATGTAAATAATTATGTTCTACATTTTAAACTTGAAGGCATATGGTACAGTTTGGTTCAATGTCCCCACTCAAATCTCAAGTCGAATTGTAATTCCCAATGTTGAGGGAGGGACCTGGTAGGAGGTGATTGGATCATGGGGGCAGATTTCCCCCATGCTGTTCTTGCAATAGTAAGTTCTCATGAGATTTGATGGTTTAAAAGTGTATGGCACCCTGCCCCTCATTTGCTCTCTTTCTCTCCTGCCAACGTGAAGGTGCTTGCTTCCCCTTCAACCTCCACCATGATTGTAAGTGTCCTGAGGCCTCCTCAGCCATGCTTCCTGTTAAGCCTGTGGAACTTGAGTCAGTTAAACCTCTTTTCTTCATAAATTACCCCAGTGTCAGGTAATTCTTTATAATAATGTCAAAATGGACTAATACAGTGTATAACTTAGCACATTTAAAGTTTGAAGGAGAAACCAGTTCTTATTTTAAATTGTACTAAATGGTTTCCTTTCTAGTCATTTCTAAGTAACCTGAAAATTCCTCCAATCTTTTCAACTCTCCGTATAGTACATACCTCCTTGTCTAGTATTAGTCACTTTGAGTGGACTTAGCAGCTTACTAGCAAGCTTATCTTGTCTTTATAGAAAATGTAAGAATAAATGTGTAGAAGATAGAGATAATTCCCATTCTGCAGACCCTTACCTTTCATCAAAGGAAGGGAAATATTGTCTACTTCTAGCCTGCCTTTATAAACTTTATAAGCTCTCAACATTAAAGGATAAATAAACTTTAGTTTTTCACTGAGAATCTTATGGCACTGAGGAATGGACTGACTTACTCTTCAGTCCAATCACATTTGGGAAGACACAGGTCTCTGATGTATAAAGCAGAAGGCCACTAAGAATTTTATTAAATTTCAAACTTATTATATGCCACCCCTTTTTAAAACTAAATCCAGGTATAAAAGTCCATCATGTAGACTTGAATTTTACTATTAAATCCACTAATACGAACAAATTCTGGGACATAATTATCTGAGTTATGAATTGAGAGTGAAAATAAGATCCTCATTAACAACTCTAAGGCTAAAAGATTCACCAAATCTTACAGAATAAGGTCAGTGCTGCTGACCTTTATAGATCCCTGGATGTGGTGGGAGTTGCCTATAGTCCTAGTACGTGGGAGGATGAAGCAGGAAGATCACTTGAGCAAAGGAGTTCAAGTCCAACCTGGGCAACATAGCAAGACCCGATCTCTTTTAAAAAAAAAAAAAAAAAAAAGTATACATTCCAGACAGCTTTCTGATTGGGTTTTGAAAATCTCCCTCAAATTACACAGCAGTGAAGCAATGTACACAACTGGGAAAGCTTTTTAACCTCTAAAACTATTCAAAGACTTACTTATAGGGATCTGTTTGCCAGCATACTAATCAATTCTGTGTATGATTTTGTTGTACTAATCAATCCTAGGTATGATCTGGTCGAACCCAATATGCAGTTATTCATCTTGAAAAAACAGCTGTTTTCTTCAGTTGTCTACTAGTTAAAATAATTAGGCATGCCATCTAAAAGGTACACACAGTTCGTCTTGAAAACTTACAAATGCCTGTAGAATGATTATATTTCAGTTAAAAAAAAAAAAAGAAAATGAGCTCTGCATAATCTACATGTATATGCTTGTGTGTGTATATATATACATATATAAACAATGATAAATGGGATAAAGTATACATACCAGGCTCTTAACATTGCTTTTCCTCATCAGACTGGGATTGGGTTAGAAAAGAGGGCTGAGAAACACAATTAGCTTGCCTTTATTTGTATTTTTATTGTATTGTTTCATTTGTTTTAAAAAGAGAGTAAGATAATTATGCAGGATTTCAGTTTAATAGTAAGCGTGATCTTCGTTTGTTGTAAGGCATTCTACTAATTGTTGACTTGATAAAAAAAATCATAAGCAATACTAAACTACTTTGAGAAGTTCAAGACACTCAAGCAAATTATATAATAATAAATATTATGAGCTAATCAGCCTTTTAGTTATAGAACATAAAAATAATTCTCTCTGTAATCATGGATATTACCAGAAAAATATACATCCTAAGAACACTAATCATTACGGTGAGGTAGTTTCAGATATAAAGGAAGACATGGCTCAATTTTTAAATTATTTCATCAGTGTTATCTAAACTTTTACTTTTTTAAGCCCATTATATTTTAGACAGGAACCAGTTCTAATGTAGCAGGAAAAAATTCTAAAGTAAGCTACAGGGTCTCAATATTAAACCTTTCTCTCTCACCCTGTCATCCCTGGTTTAGGGATGCTTATATAGAACTTTTACCTATAGGTAAATGCAAAGGAAAGGTAAAAGTTCTATATAAGCATCCCTAAACCAGGGAAGGTAGTAGTGGGTAGCAAGGGTGATGAACTGGTTCCTGTCTAAAATATAATGGACTTAAAAAAGTAAAAGTTTAGAATAACACTGGATGAAATAATTTAAAAATTGAGCCACGTCTTCCTCAGTCTCAAAAAAAAAAAAAGGGTTCCTTTTTGTTTGTTTGTTTTTTGTTTTTGAGACAGAGTCTCACTCTGTTGCCAGACTGGAGTGCAGTGGCGCTGGAGTGCAGTGGCGCAATCTTGGCTCACTGCAACTTCCACCTCCTGGGTTCAAGTGATTCTCCTGCCTCAGCCTCCCAAGTACCTGGGACTACAGGCACGCACTACAATGCCCAGCTGCTTTTTGTATTTTTAATACAGATGGGGTTTCGCCATGTTGTCCAGGCTGGTCTCGAACTCCTAACCTCAAGTGATCTGCCCACCTCAGCCTCCCAAAGCGCTGGGATTACAGGCATGAGCCAATGTGTCTAGCCAAGAATCTTATTCTTATAAGAATCTGGCACAATGAAAGGGTCTTTTAATGGTATAAATAACAATATCCAGTGATTTAAAACAACTCTTCATAGTACCTGGGACTACAGGCACGCACTACCCTGCCCAGCTGCTTTTTCTATTTTTAGTACAGATGGGGTTTCGCCATGTTGTCCAGGCTGGTCTCGAACTCCTAACCTCGAGTGATCTGCCCGTCTCAGCGTCCCAAAGTGCTGGGATTACAGGCATGAGCCAATGTGTCCAGCCAAGAACCTTATTCTTATAAGAATTTGGCACAATGGAAGGGTCTTTTAATGGTATAGATAACAATGTCCAGTGATTTAAAACAGCTCTTCACAGGTCTCTGTAATTGTAACTCTTTCCCTGTTCTTAACAAACCAAAACTTGATGGTCTCTCAAGTTTTCCATAAATGAGTTGATCAGAGACCTATGCAGTGCTTGGCAAATACCACCTGAGCTGCCAGTACTGGTGGGATTTCACATAAGCCTCTTTTTTTTTTTTTTTAATATACCAATAGAAAAAAAATTGCAGGCATATATAAAGAATTGGTAGATCAAAAAAAATAATAATAATCAGAGATGTCTCCAAATGAAATGAATTGTTTGTAGAAAATAGGAAACTTGGGAAAATCCTAACTCTTTCTTCACAGATAATGTGAATAGAGAAGACAGACGAAAAGCACTGCTGAGCAAAATGATGAAGAAAATTATGGACAAAATAGTTCACACTCAATTTGAGTGAGAAAAAGACCCATAGTGAAATTTCTGAATGTCAAACAAAAATTATACTAATATCCAGAGAGAAAAACACACAAATCAGATTCACATCAGACTTCTCCTGTATAGTACTAAATGCTGAAAAGTAATGGAGAAATCTCTAAAGCCTAGAAGATTCTGAGGAAAAAAGATGATACAATCTGTTGCTCATTTGTGAATTTAAGGGAAAAGTCAGAGAAAAAAATTAGCAACAATGAACAGTGAAAGCAAGAAAGCCTGGAATATGTGTCTGAATACTTCTTGATAATCTGTTTTTTAACTTAATATAAGTATTTCCTGGGTGCAGTGGCACCTGCCTGTAGTTGCAGCTACTCAGGAGGCTGAGGCAGCAGAATTGCTTGAGGTCAGGAGTTCAAGACCAGCCCAGGCAACATGGTGAGAGTTCATCTCAAAAAAAGACAGAAAAATATAAATAGAGCAAATTTTATTTTTTAAATTATAGTAATGTGGTTTATAGGTAATTTCAGTAAAATAAAAGGTTATTTGTTTCAATAATCAGAAGAAAAGTAAGACAAAGGAAACTCACGTAGTATAACATTATGGGAGAAAATGGGAGCAAGAAAGTATAAAAAACAAAAAGCATAAAGAATGAGAAAAATCAGACCAAATACATCAATTATAACAATAAACATTTTCATAGTAGATTAAACACTCTTATAGATTTAACTGCCTCCCCCACTCCCCCCGACCCCCCCCAAAAAAGCCTGTTTATCCAAAGAGACCTTTAACAAAAGTAATTGGCAGACCATGGTTTGGGAAAGATTTTTGTAATATGTATGATGGCACAATTATCTGTAATATATAAAAAGCTCTTACAAATCAATATAAAGAAAGGAAAATAATAATACCCAATGTTAGGGAAGCTGTACTATTAAAGTACATTTGGATGGGCTTTCTGGAATTCAGTGATGTATAGTTGCAAAGATATAGCTATAAGAATGTTTATATCAAAGTTGTTAATAATAATGAATACTAGATGCAACCCAAATATTTGACGATGAGGATGACTTGCCTTACAATATAGTCATATAATGGGATTTATTCAGCCGTTTCGAAAATGATATAAAAGGCCGGGCGCAGTGGATCACCTGAGGTCAAGAGTTCGAGATCAGCCTGGACAACATGGTGAAACCCCATCTGTACTAAAAATACAAAAATTAGCTGGGCATGGTGGTGGGCTCTGTAATCCCAACTACTTGGGAGGCTGAGGCAGGAGAATCGCTTGAAACTGGGAGGCAGAGGTTGCAGTGAGCCGCGATTGCACCATTGCACTCTAGCCTGGACAAGAAGAACGAAACTCCATCTCAAAAAATATATATATTTTATATATATAAATGATATTGAAATATAAATAAGTTGCTAGTACATTAAGTAAAACACACAGATTACAAAACAGTATGTGAAGTATAATTAGACTTCTATATATATGTGTGTGTTTCTATATATGTAGATTTGCATAGAAAAAAGTTTGAGTGGGCCCTGTGTGGTGGCTCACACCTGTAATCCCAGCACTTTGGGAGGCCGAGGCGGGCAGATCACTTAAGGTCAGAAGTTCAAGACCAGCCTGGCCAACATGTTGAAACCCTGTCTCTCCTAAAAATACAAAAATTAGCCAGGCGTGGCAGCGCACACCTATAATCCCTCCTACTTGGGAGGCTGAGGCAGGAGAATCTGAAGTGGGAGAATCACAAGTCAGAGAATCACTTGAACCCAGGAGGTGGAGGTTGCAGTGAGCCAAGATCGCATCACTGCACTCCAGCCTGGGCAACAGAGTGAGACTCTGTCTCAAAAAAAAAAAAAAAAAAGAGTAAAATATTCCAAAATATTTGCTCTTGTTATGTCAGGAATTATAGATGTTTTATCATTTTTTGCTTTTTATTTCTATTGATCTTTATTTGCGAGTTCTATATTAGTCATTCTAATAGATGTATACTGTCTATCTTATTGTAGTTTTAGTTTGCATTTTCTAATGGCTAATAATGTTGAATATCCTTTCATGCACGCACTTATCATCCTTATTTCTTTGGTGAAATATTAACATCCCTTCCTAATTTTTAATGAGTGTTAATTTTCTTCTTATTGGCTGTTGATAGTTCTGTCTGTATTTTGGATATAAGTCTTCAGTTGGGTATGTGATTTCAAAATATTTTTTTCTAGTCCATAGTTTGTCTTCTTATTTTCTTGACGGTTCTCAGGCAGAGCAGAAGTTTTTAAATTTAATGAAGTCCAACTTATAAATTTGAACTCTTTACCCAACCCCAGATCACACAGTTTTTTGTTTTTGTTTTTTGAGACAGGGTCTTACTCTGTCCCCCAGGCTGGAGTGTAGTGGTGCAATCTCGGCTCACTGCAACCTCCACCTCCCAGGCTCAAGTGATCCTACCACCTCAGCCTCCTGAGTTGTTGGGACGACAGGCACGTGGCACCATGCTCGTCTGACTTTTGTTTTTTGTAGAAATGAGGTTTCATTTTGTTGCCCAGGCTGGTCTTGAACTCCTGGACTCAAGCGATCTGCCTACCTTGGCCTCAAGTGCTGGTATTACAGGCATGAGCCACCATGGCCAGCCAGAAGATTTTCTCCTGTGTATTCTTTCAGATGTTTCTACTTTTATATTTAGATCTGTTATCTATTTTGAGTTAAACTTTGTATAATGTGAGGTTTAGATCAAGGTTCATTTTGTTTTCTTTACATATGGTTGACCAATTGTTCTAACACCATTTGTCGAAAAGACTTTCCATTCTCAACTGAATTGATTTTGCATCTTTGTCAAAGGTCAATTGGCCATATTTACATGGATTGATTCCTGTGCTCTATTTTGTTGCACTGATGTATGTATATGTCTTGTTGCCAATGCCATATGGTCTTGATTACTATAGTTTTATAGTAAGTCTTAAAATACATAGTGAGATTTCTTAAACTTTTGCTTTTGTTTTGTTTTTGAGACCAAGTCTCACTCTGTTGCCCAGGCTAGAGTGCAGTGGCACTGTGTTGGCTCACTGCAACCTCCGTCTCCTGGGTTCAAGCAATTCTCCTGTCTCAGCCTCCTGAGTAGCTGGGATTACAGGCGCCTACCACCACACTCAGCTTATTTTTATATTTTTAGTAGAGACAGGGTTTCACCATGTTGGCCAGGCTGGTCTCGAACTCCTAACCTCAGGTGATCCGCCAACCTTGGCCTCCCAAAGTGCTGGAATTAGAGGCATGAGCCACCGCACCTGGCCAACTTCGGTTATTTTTTACAAAATAACTTTTGCTGTTCTAATTCCTTTCCCCCTTCATGTAAATTCTAGAATCACCTTGTCTGTACTTACAATAATTTCTGATAGGATTTTGATTACAGTTGTGTTCCAGTCTATAGACTACTGTAGGGAGAGTTGACTCCACTGTATTGAGTCTTCCAATCCATGAATATGGTATGTCTCTGTTTATCTAGAACTCCTTTAGCCTCCATTATCAGATTTTTGTAGTTTTAACTATACATGTTCTCTACATAGTTAGATTTATGTGTATTTAAGTTGTAAGTATTTTGCCTCTCTTGGAATTATAAAAAAAGGTATTGTCTTACTACAACATCAGACCTAAGGATGATTATTTGTGTATCTGACATAAGCTGGATGCTATCAACATCTTGGGAGAAGAGGAAAAGATAATTTCCCCAAGAGCATTCCATGAGATTTAGAACTGGATGACAGGGCATGATTGTACATAGAAGGAGTTTAATGTAGTTAACTAAGGTGAATTAGGATTGGATTTGGTGGTTTTAAACAATTTGCTCTATTAAGTATTTGTTATTTATGATGGAGTTTATATAATTGGGTTTTTTCTTTTTTCTTTTTTTTTTTTTTTTTTTGAGATGGAATCTCACTCTGTTGCCCAGGCTGGAGTGCAGTGGCGTAATCTCGGCTCACTGCAACTTCCGCCTCCTGGGTTCAAGCGATTCTCCTGCCTCAGCCTCCCAAGTAGCTGGGACTACAGGCGCGTGCCACCACACCCGGCTAATTTTTTGTATTTTTAGTAGATATGGGGTTTCATCGTGTTAGCCAGGATGGTCTTGATCTCCTGACCTCGTGATCCACCCACCTCGGCCTCCCAAAGTGCTGGGATTACAGGCATGAGCCACCACTCCCGGCCACCTTTTTTTCTTTTTCCTTTTAAGTAGAGGTGGGGTCTCGCTGTTACCCACACTGGTCTCAAACTCCTGGCCTGAAGTGATCCTCCCACCTCAGTCTCCCAAAGTGCTGGGATTACAGAAATAAACCACTGTTCCTGGCCTATAATTGGTTTATAAGTAAAGTTCTAAACTTTCACTTTAAAATTATCTTACCAGGTTGGGTGCCAAGGCTTATTCCTATAATTTCAGCCTTTGGGAGGCCAAGGTGAAAAGATCGCCTGGGGCCAGGAGTTTGAGACCAGCCTAGGCACCATAGTGAGACTCCATCTCTACAAAAAAATGAAAAATTAGCCAAGCACTGTGGTCCATGCCTGTAGTCCTAACTACTCTGGAGGCTGAGGTCAGAGAATCCTGCTTGAGCCCAGGAGATCAGGGCTGCAGGGAGCTATGATTACACCACTGCATTCTAGCCTGGGCAACAGAGTAAGACTCTGTCTCTAAATAAATAAATAAAAATAAAATAAAATAAAGTGAAACTAATTTACCTTTAGTTTACCTCTTTTGAGTCTAGTTTAAAACTTCTGGTTCCTGCTAGTATACTTAAAGAAACAGTATAGTATAGAACCTTTGCAGACTTAGTTTACAATTTTCTCAGGATGTCAGCGCTCAGATTTCATTATTCCAATACCAAAGGGACAATGAAATCACTCATGGCAGTTGTAATGGAGGGATGCCATCAACATTAGTTTTTATTTTTGTTTTTCAGGGGATTTTTTTGTTTTTTAAGAAATGGGATATCTGAGTGAGCTGAAAGTTATGAAGACAGGAACTCAGAAAGAGTTAAGGTACTAGAAAGCAGGAAGTAAGACCTCTCTTCCATCCATCGTGCACATGGACTATGTATTCACTACCAAACCAGTTAGATGGTTCCCAGAATTATAGGGATCTACATCTACATGTTCTTCCTGGTTTCCACTTACCCAGCCCTCAGGTCTGGTTTGAAGGTAATGAATTATCTCACTTGGTTGTTAACAGTCAGTTGCAGATCGAACTCCTTGTTCTACTGCTTCCCCCCTTCTCACTACTACACTTGACTAATCTTAAAACCCCCCCAAAAGAGGAGGAAAGGCTAGTAAGGAAGCTGGGGCCATTAAACAATGTTTAAGCATAGAAAAAAGGAATACATAAGTTTGAGTTGAATTAAAGAAAGTTGTCTTAACTTTCAGAATAGTGTACTTTTCTTTTTCATCAATGACCAAGGTATTTTAAGATTTTTGTATTCCAGAATTTTAATATAAAATACAACATCAGGATTATCTGATCCAGTATTTTTTTTTAACAACTAAAAACATCGAGTAGACTTCGGCTGAATGTAAAAATAGGTACATTGCACATACTAGATGCTTATTGATGTTTCTGAATTTTTTTAAGAAGGTGGCCACAAACAGCTGTAGTCTAATAAAATCTGTATTTTATTCATTTTGTTCATTGTTTTATTTTTTCCTCTATTATGTCTTTATCAACAGGTCACCTAAACTGAGTTTCTTCTAGGTTTGGGCACATCCAAGAGTTGACCTTGGTACAGTAGATTCATTTATTTCAGCTACTTTATTGATGCCAATATTTCCATTATTTATTTCTGCATCAGCAGTATGGGGAGTGCCAAATTGATGTTGTCATAACAATAGTTAATACAGTGGAGCACTTGCTATATGTCAGGCATTGCTCTAAAGACTTTATACTTATCAACCCCTTAAATATCACAACAATCCTTTGAGGAGGTACTGTTAGCCCCGTTTTACCTATGAGGAAACTGAGACACAGAGATATATAACTTGCCCAAAATAGTAAATAGCTGGATTAGAATCCAGCCATTTTTGCTCTGGATTTTCTGATTTTAGCTGCTACATTATCATGCTACATTTTACTAGCTCTTACAAGGTTTTACTTTACATTACCTTAGGTCATCAGTCAGCAGATTTACTACAAATATTAGCAACTATTTGTGAAATTAACCTTGAAATGTAATCTACTGATAAACTTTGTGCCTTCATAACTGTACTTAAGTTAGGAGGAGAATATCAAAGAGAAAAATCTTTGAGCCAGAAATTAAGCTTGTCAGTTTCCCTGATTACAGAGGATTAAAAGTATAGGAATTGATTAAAATTTGACCTTGGGTGGAAAGATGATTTTATGAAGTCTGGTTCATCTTGGAGGCAGCTTAGAGTTAAAGACCAATGCATGGCTTTCCATACCGATTGGTTAAAAAAATTATGTAGATTTTATACACATTGCCACTTACATCTTGTATGTTTGTAGCTCCTCTTTATCAAGAATGGCAAATTTTCATGCAGAATAGAAGTATAATAAGCATTATTAAGACAGTAACTTGTCTTGAATCTTAATTGTATATTTCTATGATTTCAGACCTCAGAGCAGTCTTTATGTGGAATTTTGATTGACGGCAAATGCTAGGATGTTCTTTTCAAAATTTTCCTTCTAGGAGAAATTATATTTCACGTATACTCAAAGTATATGTACAATAGGATACAAAAATATTTTGTGTAGCTGAGGAATAGTGTATATGCCAGTGATTACCAAAGTATCGGGACAATCAGATGACTTGGTAGCTATAAGTCTATGAAGAGCCTGGTCTTGAGGCTTCAGAGTAGGGGCGTTCTTTTTAATAAAGGCACCTAAACTTATATTTGTGTGCATATGGAACAGTTAAGATGGTGGTTGAGTCCAGAGACTAGAATGGTTTTCTTGCCATGTGTTTTCATTCAACAATTTTTAAACTGAATTATTCTCTTTATTCTTTATTTATGTTATTCACTATCAATGAATATTGTTTGTTTTATTAAATCTTTTGTTTTGCTGTAGTGACTTGAGGGGGCCATCTCCTAACAACAGAGGCTTTGACAAAGCACCAGAGGATTCTGTTAAAAAGTTGTGTTTCGTAATTGTAGTTGTCGTGTCAGAGCCTAACTGACTTGGAGCTGAAGGATTTTTGTGAGATGAGTAGCTGTGCCAGCAGGGACCCAAGTCTCCTGGGCTGGCCGCGCTCTCATTAAGATTTGCCGCTAGCAGTGGCGGTGTTCAGCATGTATGTGACGTGCATTCTGTTATTGTATGCTTGGCTTGTCAGCCTGCAGCTTTCTGACACTCACTTATGTCACTCTTTATTCAGAGAGGAAGAAGCTTTTGATAATTTGACAAGACAAGCTCTTAAACGATCTAGGTCATGGCCTTCACTGTCTGTGATTGTGAACATATTTCCTGAAAGCCCTGTCACTCATCACAGCTACATTTTCTCCCGGGGAGCCACAGGCCTGTCCTGGTCTCTTGTCAGCTCATACATTTTGGTTATTCATATACCAAATACAGTATTGGGGGTTTTTTTCTTCCCTTTTGCAAATGCTAGCATGTTAGTAAGGCTAATCCTTTCTCCTGTGCTGTGTTCCCAGCAGGGCTGCGTTCAAGGGCTCTCTCTAGTACAAGGCAGACAACTGGCCAAGGGGAGCTGAGGAGGAGGAAAGGCCGCTTAGTGCTGTTTTTGTGTTTGTTCATTGTTGTGGAAATATGAGAACTGGTGGCAAGGGCCTTGTCTATTGAGCACTTGAGTCTTGGTCTGCTGTCAGGGGCTGTTTAAGATTGAGTGTTTTATTTTCTTTGATGTTCACATTTGAGAATAGGGAAGTGGGAATTAAACAACAGATGCACTAAGCCGTTGTTCTCGTAAAACAATAATTAGCACCTGATAAAATTCAATATGGGTCAAAATGCACAATATAAACTCTCAATTCATCTGGTGTGGCAAACTGTGTTGATTCATCTTTGAATTTTATGAATAATAACACTGATTTATGTATGGTTTATTATACAAAATACAATAGACGGGAAAACTAGTTGGGCAGAAGTTGGCAAACAATGTAGCACATTGCTAAAACAGATGTACAAGTACACTTTGTATGTTTTCAGTTGTGTGATTTGAGGAGGCCCTTTGGGTTGCCATCCATCTAAGTACCAGTAAGGTGAGATCACCAGGGTAACCAATAAATGCAATTGTATTTTCATAGTTTGTTGAATTTGCATCTTAGATGAGTTCCACAGCTGACTAGTAATTCATTTTAAGTATTTTTTTAATTAGACCAAAGTTAGTTGTAATAGTAGGCTTCTTGCTTTAGAAATTACTTTATTTTATGCAATAGGTATATAATTTTCCATGCAATAGATACATACATTTGGGTGCCATGGCATTCTATTTGATAAGAAGAAAAATACGTGCAACGACTAGGGAATGGTAAAAAGAAGTTGAAGCCATAATAAGCAAAAAGAAAAATTAGGGTTTTAAAAATTCATTGATGATACATAGATATAAATAAAGATGTGTGCCTTATATTGACACCTAGTTTGAAATGAAAAATATTTGTTTACTTTTTAACCTCAAATATAAATAAGTATTACAAAAAATAGCAAAATGAAACTATGCATGAGAATGTTGAGTAAAAATACTTATGAGACAGTCAAGTAGGAGTTTTTAAAAATTACAATACTATTGTCTAATAAATGAAAAGAAGTTTCATGTCTCTCACTACTAATTTTCTATATTGGGCATCATCTTCATGTACAGAGCAATCAGATGATTGTTCAAAAACCAAGTAATTCTTTCTTTTATTACTAAATTGCTGCAACACAAGAAAAGGTCACATGGTAGAGTGGCATTCTGCCAGTGTATGACAACTCAGTGATTGCGATTTTTCAACCGTATTATTCTGAGGACACTGTGGTAATCAAGAACTATCCATAACTAATGTATAAATAACTGCTTGCTTATTTCTACAATAATCCAACTCAAATTATATATACACAGCAAAAAGCTTATGATAGAAGGTAGGAAATGAATATTTAAGGATATATTGTACATTAGATATTTGTGTGTATACATGTTTATAAAAATAGATATTTCTTGTATATATTCTTAAGAACTTTTGTAACAAAGTTTGTGGCTACATTTGGTAACTAACATGATCTTTGCCTTATGAATCAACCTTTTACTTTTTAAAAATAGTTGTCTTTTCATCAGTGTTGTTCATCCAGAAATGACTGGATATAATAAGTGGGTTTTTTTAGTAAGACACTTTAGTTTCCAGGAATTTGATATTAAAACTGGAAAGCTGACCACTAAACAGTCTTTCCTATAGAAAGCTGTGTAGACTGCTTTCTATAGGAGCAGTCTACACAGCTTTCTATAGGAAATTACACAGGAAAGTTAAAATGCGTAAAGGATAAAATTTTTCAGCATAGATATGTTTCAGCATAGTTGAAACATATCTACTTTTTTGTCTAATCACTTATGGTGGTATAATCAGTAGAGGTATTGGCATTCAAATGTTTCTTAAATTATTATCATAGCCATGATATTTTCAGATTGTATGAATTACCTTTGTTAGTCTTATCAATACTTTGAAAAATAAATGAAAGAGGAATGACAAATCAAGTAAAGAGTTGTTTCAAACTAGGTATCAAAAATTACAAAGATTTCAGAAAGTCTTACTCTAATTTTAGGCATGCATCTATAAACAAAAGCTATAAATTTCCATTCGCTTTTAAGAATCACCATTTCCTTTGCTTGGTGTTTTAATTTATTCCAACCATTTATATAGTTACAAACAACACACTTTTTGCTCCTGAGAAGATGGTAAACTGATCAACTATACATAAGCAGCTTGGTTAGAAAAAGTGTCCTTAACAAGGTCATAATTTAGGCATAAGAAGATTTATATATGTGTTCGTAAGAAAATATATTCTAATCACTGTTTTTGTTGTTCCTGCTATTGTTTATATTTGCTTGTTTGGTTGGTTCTTTTGTTGTTACCTATTCTAGTTTCAATTAGTATATCTTTTACAAGATTATCGACGTTTTGGGGATTTTTAAAGTTGTTTTTGCTACAGATGTGGATATGGAAAGATTAGACAGTTTGGACTTTAGTTTCTTGCAGTCGTTTTTGTTCTTGTTGTTTTTAATTCTCTTTCTTATAGAGTATTAAAAGTTAGCACCAAGTGATTCCGTAAAAGATGCCAACAGCTATCACAAATATGTAATAACAGTGAAGTCTTCTTAAAGCAGTTACTATTAAATTGTTTTCCATCTTACTACCAAAGTTCAAAATGCTGTTTTAAAAGGTGTACTTGGTGAGTTTTATTGATTTTGACCACTGCTGTTCATTTATCAGTTTAACTGAGTTATGGCTCTTTATCACATCTTAGTGCCCAAAACTTGTAACCTGAAAAGAAAAAGAGAGAAAACTTTGTTACTGGCTTTCTGACAATGGCGGGGAGTGTGTTAAACCAGTGTAAAATTCAATTAAACTGTCTAGCCAGGTTTTTGAAGCTGAAATGCAGACCCTTTCTGTTAAGCTTCTTATTTTCCTGTGACCGACACCGGTGGATGCTGGGTTATGCCAAAACCAACAGGCTGTAAAGTACCTTGTTTCATGCTCCCAGCTGATCAATATTTTTATTTTCCAGGCTTGCACAGAAATCTGGAGGCAGTATCACCTAACGGTGAGTAGAAACACCTTTTTTATTTTCCCCAAGACCTAGCCTATTTACCCTTCTCTGAACTGCTGACCATAAAATATAGACAAGCATCTTCTGCTGGAAGATAATAAACATCTGAAGAGTTTTTGTACGGAGAAAGCAATAATACACTTTTTCTCTTTTCCACTGCCCCCTACCCTATCTTCCTGTTCTTAAAAGAATTTGATTTTTTTATTACTCACATCATTTAATGATTACATCATGGTATCTCTTAGTCTTCCAGACTATATTCATTAAATTAAAGGGAAAAAGTATACTGGGAGCCTTAAAGAGTAATAATCCAGTGTCTTTAAAATGTTGTATTATCCACAGTCCACAAGCATTCAGTCCACAGTATCTTCAGTTGCTTTTACTAAAACAGTTACTGATATTTTTCAATGAACCTAGAAAAAGCTTAGTGTATATTTCATATAGAATAATTCAACTGTCATATCCTTAAGCCCTTCTTGACTTATTCAAAATGTATAAATATCTGCTTAATACCATTCAAGTTATTCAATTCCTAGTTTCCTTTTATTGTGATTTTAGGCTAAGTAGAAGCAGAAAATACAGTTTGCTAGAGAATCTAATTGACTGGTGCTCAATATTATGAAGTTAGTTTACTTTTAATGTTCAGCTTAAATCATTTCAGTAATTCACCATAGCCCTACTACTCACTTCTTTTACTGTATTAAATATGTTGTGCTAAGCAACAGACCATTATTCTTTTAATTATTACAGTTATATAACATAATATATATTAATTAAAAGTTGTTAAACATTGTTTCTTAAGGTTTAGCATAGTTAAAAGTTTTGTTTACACAAAGACAGGTTGTAAAAATACAAAGGGCAAAGTTCTTTCAAAACATGACTTCTTATCATTCTCCTTAGAGAAATAAAAAGTAAACCAACAAGTAGACTCAAACTACCTGTCTGTCTGTCACAGGCCCAAGAGGCCATAAATTATATAAGGTGGTTTGTTTTCACATTTTGTGATTACCATTTAATTTTTTTAAAGATTTTCAGTAGAAAGCTGTAACTCCTCAACTATTCCTCAAATCTCAAATTAGGATTTGTTAAAAACTTAAGTGTTATACCCAAAAATATATACATACCCATGTATGTTACACATATATATTACAAATGTAATTCATCTGAATACATTGTTTGTGCTTATGTAGCAGTTTTTTTATCCTATCATAATATAGTGAAATCATTACAGCCTAAACTTAATTAGAATCTAATTATATGTTATACTTTTCAAGATGACAGAGCTACTCTTTGTAACTGTATAAAGTAATATCCTTATAGATTTGACATTGCATTTATTTTAGCTTTTCCCCTAATTTAAACAATTCCAATCTTGAAGTGTAGGAAGTATGATTTTAAAGCTGCTCTTTTGATTATTTACACCTGTGTTCGTTTATATACCTATAGTTAAAGGGTAAAAATTTGTTTCAATGTAACAGAAATATTTGAAGGTTTGCTTAATATTTTAGCTGTTCAGAAACATAAATTTTAAAAAGAATCATTAGGAAAAAATAATACAAAATAAATTTACTTTTTAAGGAATTACAATATATTCTATTTATAGGTATAACAAATTCAATTTGAAAACTTTGTTTGTTCCAATCTGGAATCCTGGTTAATTTTTTAAAATAATATTGAAGTTGCCATCACAGTTTATAAATTATCAAGTTGAAATTAATAATGAGTTTACTATGCAAGTATAAATATAAAACTAGCATGTTTATGAACTTGTGCATATATCAGTGTCTCTAAAATAAAATAGTTAAGTAATTATTTAAATTATCAGTATATGGACAATATCCAAATGTATGCAATGAAGCAATATTCAGTCTTGAATAAAAACAAGATGCATGATGATTTTAGTCATCTTCAGCTCTTTTACTAGGCGATGGACTGCCATCTATTGACTCCTAGTAGCCCTCACACATGAATGTTGAGTCAATCAGCGCAGTGACCAAGTAATGAAGCCTCAGTTAGAATTGTTACTACTTATTCATTTAAACCAGTCTGCTTAAAACTCTGGAGCTTTCTACACTTAAGCATTGATTAATTACTTTTTCTAACCAAAATTGTCATATTTCTTACCCCAAATGATGGCAAAGATGATTAGTATCCAGTTTGGAGATGTTTATATTTGGGAGCTTTACAGTTGCTTTTATCTGCCTCCCAACTAGAGGGTCATTTACAGAACGACTTAAATTTTAACAGTAAATTAATGTTTATCCAGGAGTCGTTTTCTTTAAAAACCAAAAAAGTCTATAGGTTAAACAGAATATTGTTTCTCAAACACATAAGAAAGGTGGTGTAGTTGATTGTTACAAGTGGACTTTTGAAATATTCCAAATAAAAAATTCCTTAAAACACTTTCAGAACTAAGAAGAAAGTTATAGAAGTGTTCACTATTTTCAACAATTTCAAGAAAAATAAAATGAAATATCTTCAACAACCTGTATATGAATATAATAGCTTTTTAATCAGCTAGACTCGACTACATTAATAAAAGCTAAAGACCATCATTCTAAAGGGTTCATGCTAATAAAACTAAAAAGACTACATATACACAAACATCCATATTATAACAACCATCTGGTGACACCATCTTTCTATGTTTTAATGATTCTATAATTATATAATTTAATGTCTTTATCAATTTGGAGACCATGAAAAAAAGAAAAAAATATTGTTTTTACTTAACAAGTACATAATTTCCTCAAATAGTTAATATTTTTACCTCCTTCAAAAATGTTTAGAATGCTTTTAAATGTTTAATAATATAGCTAAAATATAACTTCTTGTATTTTCATTTCTGCTACATTTTCAGATTTTTGTAGAGCCTGACTTTTAATGTTCTTTTTCATCTTTCAAATAACTCATTCTAGATAAAAATTTCCCCCTTTATTCGAGAAAGAATGTCCCTTCCCCCACCCCCTGTCATTTCTACTCTCATTTATATTAAAAATCCTAGGCCAATATGGCCACCAACAGAGTTTTACAACCAACAGAATTTTTAACTAGTAGAGGCTATGATTTGACATGAGTTGGACATTTGGTTAATCTTGTTTTTAATCTACTTACTTTAAAAAGTAACCAGGAGTTTGCTATTTGAGGGCTGTATGTGTTAAGAATCGAAAAGGACAATGCATCTTTTATGTTTAATTTTGCATTTGATTTCTTTGTGTGCATTGTTAAAATGTATTTCAACCCTACTGCCTTTTATTTTAACTGAAGGTTTAAGCAGGAAGCAAATGTAACTGTTTTAGAAGAATTAAGCCTTAATTGTTTTTTTATATATAATGTTTTGAATGCCTAGAATTCACACTTCAAAAAATAGACTATTTGTTATCCGGGAAATGGGGAAGAGTAGAGAAATGAGTGTGCTTGACTTCCTTTCTGGCCTAAGAAAGGCTTATGGCCACAGTTTGTCAGGGTATATCTTATAAACCATAAGTAACAATATTACATTTCATTTTGCCACTTAGTTTTCTGTCCTTACCTGGAAATACCCATTTAGAAATGTATTTTTTGTGTTTTCACAGTTTGGAGTTTTATACTGAGTGAGAATGTTATTCTCTAAAGCATTCTATGCCATACTACAGAGTGGGTACCCCTAAATGTCAACAGATTTGGATTTAACTCTAGAACTATGTTTTACACTCCAGAAGGAAGGAATAAGAAGGTGGTTTTGGTTCTGAGACTATAGCTATGCAAAAGCCTTTATCCTGAGATTGTGATGTAAGATAGGATAGATAATTTTCTAATTGCCTAATGCTAATATGGAATGTTTTTCCTTTAAAATAACTTAAAATGTGAAATGAAGAGATTCAAAAAGTCAGCCAGAATCTTTTCTTTTCCTGGTTAATTGGATATATGTTGGGATTCCTAAATATCTTTCTGAGAGGTCCTTGGCTACATAAGCAGATCTGTAAAAACCATAATAACCCCATCCACACAGTAGATATCAAGTGATAGGTCTGTTTTTCTCTGTGTGCGCTTTGGTGTGTTTAAGAAAATAGAACTGGTTACATACTGTCTTGTAAAATGCTATCTAAACACCATTTTTATTGGTACCATTTTTGAGGCCTAGCACATAGGTTTTCATAAGCTAATACATTATAAGTTCATTTTGGAAGCTTTTGTTTTGGTAGTTCAACTTACTTTGCCTACTTCCTCAAGAACCAGAAATACTCTTGTATAAATTATAGTTTTTTTCCTCTGTATCTGGTATTGCTGTTTTAATGTTTTGATTGATCAGGTGTTGCTATTGAGACATTACATCTCTGCCAAATTGTCAGAGGTTTAGTTTTCATTTAAAATGCCCTTAGTACTAAAATACTACTGAGGTGAACGTGATTGTGCTCTGATCATTCAGAAGGCACATGACTCTTTTGTAGTGCTTCAGAGCCATCTTTCCATTATAGTACTATAAAATAAATCAGACTGGTTTATCTTTTGAGTTACTTGGTGTTTGAATAACAAGATTTTTTTTTTGAATAAGCATTGATGACTTGTAATAGTCCATCTCTGATAACAGAGATGGAAAATACATTTGGAGAATGACTAAAATTTTTAAAGATTTTTCAAATGCAAAATTTATATGAATAGTTTTATGTTATTTAAATACTTATCTTGTTCTTAAAGAATTTGCTGTTAAAATTATCATCATAATTTTTACTTCAGTCTTCTCATATTTTGAGTTTAGTAGGAATGATAATTACTACATTTACAGAGTAAGTCAACTGATTTTTTTTTTTAATCTTTATTTCACTGGCATGTGGAACCACATTTTGCCAGAACTTATCATTGGAAAATGCAATTTCAAAGCAAATGAAACCTGGAATTATCAATCTCAATAAATGAGATTCTTTTAAAAATAAATAAAATTTGCTAAATCATCAAAAAGCAATTTTCTAAAGCTACTGTAAAGGAAAGGGGGAAAAATGAATGTTGTGAATTATAAATGCATGTTATTTTTCCTCACATAACATTTCCTCAGATATTTAGAAATTGTATGTATGCATATTTATTTGTGAATGGAGTTAGAATAAGATCATTTAGATTTGGGTGTAATTTTTATTTATTGGAGCACTTGTGAGAACCTTAGTATTTTCTTCTTTACAAAGAAATACTGAAGTGTTCACTCCTTCAATTCTGAAGTTACTTGATTCTCAGTATTTTAATGCAAATACTAATTTGGTTTAAATGGGAAATCAATATGGCATATTTTGCATAGTTTTTTCCTTGCATTAATATATTTAGATAATATCAAGTACTTTATGATGGTAATCCTAATGTAGATTTAAGTGTTTCAGATAATGAAGCAATGAGAAGTATGCAGCCTTCACTCAATTTAGGAAAGATTTATCATAAATGTTTTGGCATAGAAGCAGCTGTGCTTTTGCCATCTTCTAAATATCTTTAATGACCTACTCACTAGTCATCATGAATTTGGCTCATATTTTTAGATATTAGATGTTCAATAATCAAATAATTGAATCTGAAGTTCTACTATAAATAGTGACTTCCTTTCTTTATTTGACGGAAAAAGTCCCTGTGCTTTTTATTCCTGCCCCTAGTGGCTAGGGGCAAAGACCAGTATATTTAGGACTTAAATATGTCTCACATGGCCTTAAAGTTGTACTTCTGTTTTAAAAATGGAAAGAAGTACTTGTTGTGGTCATCTGTTTTCTTATCTGTTAACAAATGTTTATCCTGAGGATGACAAATGGAGCATCACGTTTGCACTTTTTTTTATTACCCTTTCCTCTCTTCCCCATGTGTGTTCAGCATTACTTAGAAAGGAATTATAGTTAGTCATTATAGGGACAATTTATTCTTGATTATTAAATACTGTGGTAATTAAATTTCATTTCTAAGTGCTTCTTGTTTTAACATATATAACACACTTTAAAAATCTTTTTTAAAACCCACAGTATTCATATAATCTCAAAGAAAACTACATTTCTTTCTTTAAAAAAATTAAAATATGGAACACTTCATGAATTTGCGTGTCATTCTTGCTCAGGGACAAAACTACGTTTCTTTTTACTTGCAACTCTGCACTTTTAAAGAGTGACCCTATTACAATAAAAATGAGTATAAATATAAACAAATAGTCTTAGATTTTCCAAAATTAATACAGTTTACCATTGTACAGTATCTAACTATATAATAAATTAACAGTTTTAAAATCTTGAGTGATGCCAATTCTTTGTCGTGTTACGTACACATAAAGAGTGTAGAAGTATTATGTAGATAACTTTAGCATATTCAAGTGATTATTTCGCATATGTGCTTTGAACAGGTATTTCATGCCATTTATTAATTATATTCCGAGTGATCAAACTTGTCATAGTCTTTTCTAGACATTTCAGTCCAACAGTAAATGTAGATAAAATATACTAGAGCATTGATATTTGTATTAGACATTCATTTTGGTAGTCATGCATGTGAGTGACATGGTAGATTACAGTAATTCCTAAAGGTCTGAAGTATTTAGGAATCAATTAATTACTCACAATCATGATCAACCATAACCTTTAAGGGTTTGGATCGATCGTTTGAATAATCTGCAGGAAAAGACTCCTTGACTTGTTAACATGAACAGTCTCTCTGAACTAGTGTTATATTTTCTGTTACAAGCTGTGGTGATAAACTTAAGTTTTAGGTTTCAAAAGCACAGTCTTTTCAGTGACTGAAAGTTAATGAATTATTGTTAAAATCAGTCAGATTTTAGACTTAAAATTTATCAGTCATTTGATCCCTATATATCAGAAATTCAAGGGTGTTATGTGTGGGTTTTTTGGTACATTTATAAGTATTTTCTTCCAGCTATTTTGAGTTGGTGCAATGATCCTCCAAGACCAACAACTCTGGTGTTTAAGAAATACCGAAAACAAGTGAAGAAATATATTACCTCTTTAGAAAGCATTTAACAAAAAAAAGTTTAATATCTTTGGGATTAAATTAGAACTTCACCTTAATTGGTACACCAGTACATAGATACCGCACATTTCAAAACAAGAATTATTTAAAGTGAGTGTTTAGAAATTTTTATTAGCTTTGTAAAAGGAATGCACATGTGTGTATCAACTGGTAATAAAGCTACTAGATAATTTTCATTCCATTTTTCAATAATCATGTAGAACTGAATCCATTGGGTAAATTATAAGATCATCTTTATAATTTTGTAATACATCCATTTTACATAGATATGTTTCTTTACATTGATTTGTGGATTACCCCACATTTTTGTTCAGTTAGGAAAACTAAGTTTTGGGTTGTGTCTTAACTTTGTTTATACAATATCAATTTTGTTTTCTTGGATCTCTCACATTTCCTTTGTTTACAGTTGTACATTTCCTCCCTGTTTTTACCAGGCCTTAGAAAACTGTGCTATACAGTTGGGCCAGAAGGGCAAGCAAATTTCTGAGGAAATTACTAGGTGGCATTTTTTTTTATCATAATAGAGAAAAGAATGCCAGCTTTGGGATTGGACTGTGGTTCAGAGTCTGAGTCTTTCGTCATATACTAAATGTGCAAACATAGTTAAAATATTTAACTTCTAAAGCCCTCAGTTTCTTCATCTGAAAAATGGGGATAATGCCTTGTAGGATTTTGTTAAGTATACGATGAGATGATAAATATAAAATACAATACCTGACAGACAGAGCATGTTAAACACTATGCAGGCTGTACTACAGCAAACCCAAAGGCATCTCACACCTGTGGAGATGGCCTCTGGACTGACGTCCCAAACTCAGGTTATTATAATGTCTTCTGCCCAACATTAGGAGATTCCTAAGGACCTCTTTACTCTGTCTCCTAACAATGTTTCCTTCTTATATTTATTGAAGGGAATCTTTTGTTGACAAAATTATTTACCTCAGTTTTCATTTTCTAATTATTTATACTTGTCTTATTCTTTTCCATTTAGGCTACTTCCTTTCCTAATGAAAATAACTATATAAAATGTGTATCATAAAAATGCAATATCACTTTGAAAATACATATTAATAAATGTGTGAGTCTTAAGTGATAACTTCAGTACCATCTGAATATAGTTCTCTATCATAAGCAAATAAATTATATAAATATTTGCTCTCTATACAAATGATGAGAATAAAACGAAATTGAAAAATTCACCCAAACATAAACATACCCCAATTAGAATACTTTCTGCTAGGGGTAGAGGGCTTATGTTAATCAGATAAGAAATGAAACAAAATAGCATAGCAGTTTTTTGCACTTTAGGTAAAACTACTTTATGCCTTCACATGATTAACACCAAAAACCAGCCTGATTTCATAGCAAAATGTAGTGGTATAAGAGCTGGGTCAGTTCTGCAGACTTCCAGCTGTATTCTCAGATACGTCCAGCGAAAAAGGCAACTCAAACTTAAGCACTTTATCAGTACATGCAGTTTGTATTCTTTCAAAGAGCATTCCTATTTCATGTTTGTTCCTTGTTTTAAGACAAGCAAAGGCTCAGATGGAACATATTGTAAAAGCAAAAGAACATTACTTCCCCCTTCTAACAGGTCCTTGCAGCTGTGGAATTCCCTGCCTTTGTGATCGATGGTTAAGAGTATTACAGTGGAATAAGCAGAGTTGGGATGGCAGGTGGTGGGAGGGCCATGTGTTGTAAGTCATGTGGAGTTATGGTAAAAATGAAAATCTTGGGGTTTATTTGGATCCCCCATGTATTAGCTAATAAACGTAATAGAGCTATGGTTCTATTCTTTTATAATTTTTTTATTGGGGTTCATGTACAATCACATGCAAAATATAGTAGCAGATTTGAATATGTTAAGCATTTTGTATGGTTGGAAGATGTATATTAGTGTGATTTCTGTGTTTTATAGTCTAGCCCAATAAACATTCAGATAAAATGTCCATGGATTTACACATTTATGTGTTCTTTTCTGTCCCTTCCCCCTACATCCTGTCTCCATGCCTTCATCCCTCTATCCTGCATCAAAGCTTGTGGTCCTTCTCCATCCATGTACTAAATGGTTTCTTTGTAAACCAAGCCATTTGTCCATCATTGTTTGGGGTCCAAACAGTGGTAAGATACCCTGTCACCGATCCCGCATGCTATGAATGGCAGCTCCTCTCCGGACAATTGGCGGAGGGGCCGAGAAATATTCCTGAGAGGATTATTTAACCTTTCAATTTAGAGGGCACAAAGCCTGGCTGATTAATGAACTTTCTGATGGGTGCCGATAAGCGGATCTATTTCTTTATTTCCCCTAAAAGTGATTCCTTCTTCTGTCCATATTACTATAATCTTAAACATAAAATGTGGCAAATAGATTAAAAAACAGCACTAAAGAGTTTATCTGGCTGGCAAACTGAAGGAGCTAAATTAAAATTGGTAATGACAGCAGTGGCTCAGCCTCATATATGGTTTTTAAATGCACTGTGTATTTTGAAGAGACTTATTCTCCAGCTCGCCTGGTAATGACTGCTTTTGGTGCACAGTCTGGGGCTGGCTTCTGTTATCCCACCCCACCCTACCCACCCACCCCCCCCCCCCCCAAAAAAAATGAGTTGTGTTATCTGGATGGCTGCAGACACATACGCATCCCCCTTTCTCACTGCATGGGCAGACAAGGTCGATAGCATTACAAGGTATTTGTGGCAGTGCTTGTTTCAGTTTTCAGAGCTGCCAGTTTCCAGGCGGATTTGAATTACAAAAGAAGAAGCTGGCATGAAAATTGAAAGGTTTTATCGGCTGGTCTGAAGCCTCATAGCACATTGCTTATTTATGCAGTCCATTTGCACCAGGAAATATAAAAAGGAAATACATTTTTAAAATAAGGCCATAAAGACTCAGATATGTTTAAGATGGCAAATAAAATATAGATACCTATAATATCTTTCCAGGAAACGATTTTCACTTAATGTTGCACATTACTTCAGAAGAGCATTTATGTTGCTGTCATAAATTTGTGCGTTTGTGTCACTATGTAGGTAGTCTCTGGGGATTAAGAAGGAAGCCTTTGCTAACTTACTTTAAAATTAAAATAGACGGAGGGATAGCTCTGCAGTTTGAGAGCTACATTGGAAATATTTAAATAGGGTGGTATATTAAACTTAAACTAACATTTTTGCATTCCATGTAAAATTAGCTATGGCCCAATGAATAAATGCTACTACCTTTAGAGAAAATTGGGATGCTTTTTAAGCCATGAAGATTTGGAGCATTCAGGAAGTGAATTACTCTGATCCTTACTGTGTTGCGTGTGTTCATTGTTCTCTGCTTACTGAGGTTTTCTTTCTGTTGTTGGAGTTGTTTTGATAGGGGGAGTGTCCTGTTTACAAAAAGAAAGGTTATAAATTAATAAGCTTAATAGCTCATTTTTATAAAACTCGTGCTTCTTTTTAGTTTTCAGATATATTTTAGATTTTGCATAGTGGTTAATGTTGTGAATATATAACCCTTTCACTATTGGAAGTTATACCAATAATTTATATCTATTTACATTACTTTAATGTAGTTTTCGATTTACTGAAAAAGATACAATGATGTAATCCCTTATACTCTTGACTACATAAAATGAAGACATAAGTATACAAACATAAAGTAGTGCAAGACCTTGAGTGATTGGTCATTCGCAGCTTTTCAACCCATTGGTTTATAAAATTTCAGTGTATCCAAAAGAGAAGTAGGGAGGAAGTTACAGAGATACAGGAAATATCAAATAACTAAAGCAACACACGTTATTCTGCAGTTCAAATGAACACTCTTTAAGAATCTTTTTTCCAATATGGCAAATTACTCTCAGGTAAACCATGAGAGATGCATTTTTTTACTATTTTTATTTTCACTATTTTTACCAGTATCTGGGTACCTTTCCCATGTTTTCACGACCTCGACTAATTACTTCATGTAGTTGTTTTTTGTTTTCTTTTTAAACAGAGAAAATATCAAAAGCATACATGTCTGTTGCATGCTAATGATGTGCTGTACATTTTTTCATGAATTTTCATAAGGATTTTTTCTACGTAGCATGTGTGGCTTAATGATGTAATCACCCGATAGACTAGAAAATGCTCCAAAGGAGACGTTCCGGTCTGTTGTGTACATAATACATGTTTCAAAAATCTGCCTAATTAAGGAATTACCCAATGGATTGGGAGTCTGTTGGGTACATGACATGGTTTTTTAACACATAAAAGTATTATGTATATATGGTACACATGGTACTTTTAATGCCATTTTTAACATATGAGGAAAATTAGTAGCAATGTCCACTAGAATACAGGGGAATTCTGTTTTTTCACTAAGCAAAAATAAAAGCTTTAAAAACAGCACTCTTTTAAAATAATTCTAAAGCCATTAGCTTGGAGAAAATTCCTCCTAGTATTCCTGAAAGGGAAGTAATACTGTCAATATTTGCCAGAACAGTGTACAAATGGAAGACTTTGTCCAAAACCTCAGTTGAAGTAGGCCTAGAGTTCAGGTCCCAGGTGTGAGGATCCACCTCAGAAAAACACCTTAAAGGGAGGAAAGGGAACAGTTTTTGGCTTTTTTGTAACACAGCATCATCTTTGTTGTCTCACAGCCTCTGCTTTGGTTCAGTTCACTATAAAACAGTTTGCCTAACTTTTAGGTTTCTTTATTTGATTCTTTTAGGCATAAATTGATTTGGAAATATGAAAGAATAAGGTTGTTCTCAAACATGAAAATCATATTGATTGAAGAGGTGCCTAGGCACATGTGATTTAGTCAGTAAGATTGGAGCCAAGCTCTACTTTTCTCAGTGTTATATTTGGTTATGAATGCATTTACCTCAGGTATTTAATATATTTGCTTTTTAATATATGTCATATAGCAAACTGGATTAATAAATAGAAACACATAGTGTAGTCTTTAAGCATATGTGTGATTATAAAAATAAATCCATTTTGCATTCACAGAATAGAAAATACCCTTTAATTAGTGAAATTGATTACATATCGTATATAGTAATGAGCTTCAGCTAGATGCAAGCCCTCATTGGATCAAAGTCAGTTTAGATAAGGGCAGCTGAAGGTCACAGAGGGAGATGCCCAGCAGGTTCATTTGCATAAAAAATTACTGTTAGAAATAGGACACTGAGGCAGCTCTAGCATTTTGATCTCTTGGCCTTTGTCATGGAGATTCCTAGTAGTGAAGGGAGTAAGGCCAGTGTCCCAGATAATGATTAACTGTTTTAATGGCATTCATTCATTCATTCCACACTAACTACTCATGCAGAAAAAAGGGTTATGTAAAATGACATTAGAAGAAAATCATTTGTAATCGTTGCATCGGGCTGCACTTTGAGGAGACATTAGGAGTAAATCCGTGGCGTGGTAGGCTTATGCTTTATCTTCTGATATTTACTGAGTTTACTGGTGCATGAAAAGCTTTCAGCAAGAATAGCAGATGGGATGGACCTTTCATAGGTAATGCTATCTACCAGGTTATTACTTCTATATATTGATAGTAAAGTAATCTCCAAGATATCACCCTACAAATATAGATTATTTAAATGTCTGCAACCAAAAAAAAAAAAAGAAATACAAAAGGCCTGCTTTTATAAGTAATTAATTTGGTATCCGTTGGGTCAAAGTCTTTAGATGAAATTTTGACTTAAAAAAGTTCACAAAAACTACATTCATTGCCTTGCATTTAACTTTTTGTCAGCAGTACAGGCACGTATGACAGAACACTGAACTTAGAGCTAATCAGTTGACACATTCTGCTTTAAATTGGACCTTTACTGTTAATTAAAAATAAAGACATGCTCCAAGGCATAAGTATTGAGTCACAAATTTATATTTCTAACACAATAGCTTAGAGATTTTTGTTAGATCATAGTATGAAAACTTGTCCACTGGAAACCACTATTGAGTTTTCAGTAGTGTATTCTAATACAGAAATGTTCTCTAATTAGGTAAGATCTAGGCTGATTTCATTCCTATTAAGCCCTAGTACATGATAGTTTATTAAAATGAGAGTATGTAGATAGCGTTTGTCATGTCATTTACTAATTAATTATTGTGAAACAGTTTAGAATTTCATAGCACAATATACTGTTGCTATTTTTATTAGTAATAATGGAAGTTTTTAACTACTGACATTATTCAGATGAATGAACATCCACATGTTTACATTTCTTTCAGGGGCTAAATTTGAGATTCCTTTAAAATAAAATAAGAAGTGTCAACATGAAACATGCTTTCAAAATCTCGATTAAGAAGGATCTCTTTGTCCCTGGTACTGTAAGACTGAGTTCCTGTTCACTTGGCATTACTAATTCCTTCCTGATTTTGTCAGAGTATATACCACATTCTCAGTGTGAAGTAGGGGAGACAATAAGGAAGCTGTATTATTAATTTATTCAAGCTTTTTAATATATTTAAGCATGATTTGATAGGTTTTCCCTTAATGACATAAAAAATTAATAGTTTCCCAAAGTATGCAAGTTTTTATTAACAAGAGCTAAATCATATTGGATGATTACTGTAGGCCATGTGCTTTACTTATGCATTACCTCATTATTCATTCATTAATATTTACTGAACTACTACTATATGCCTGGCCCTATTCCAGGAGCTGAAGTACAGCAGTGAACAAAAACAGACAAAAATCCCTGCCCTCACAGAACTTACTTTCTCCTAGCCTGGGGATGGGGTTGGGAGTGGATAGGTAGTAAACTATATAGTATGTCAGATATGATAAGTGCCATGTTGAGTTTTGTTTGGTTGGTTGGTTGGTTGGTTGGTCTTTTTAAAATAAAATGGCAGTACAGCAGGATAGGGAGTACAGATTGGAGGGAGCTAGCCATTTTAAATAGGGTGCTCAGGAAGGCCTTACTGAGATGACATTTGAGCCAAGGCTTGAAGGAAGTGAAGGAGTGCACTATATTAAATCTGGGAGAAGAGTGATGCAGGCAGATCAAGTAGCTGGTGCAAAGCGCTGAGGTGGAAGTTTGTCTGGGGTATTCAGAGAACAGTGAAAAGGCCAGCATGACAGGCTTGCTGTGAGGGAAAGTAGTAGGAGATGAGGTTAGAGAGGTGGGAGGATGCAAATTACAGGCCATTGTAAAGTTTTTGGCTTTTTCTCTGAGATGAGAAGCTGTTAGAGAGTTTTGAGCTGAAGAGTGGTATGTTCTGATTTGCAGGCTATAAGGATCATCTTTGGTTTAGAGTATGTTGTAGAGGGCAGGGATAGAAGCGGAGAGACCAGTTATGATGTTCTTGTAATCATCCAAACGAGAGTTGAGTAATTGGACCAGGACAGTACTGGTAGAGTGGAAAGAGGTGGATGTATTTGCAGAGCCAACAAGCTTTGCTGATGGGCTGGGTATGAGGTATAAGCAAGAGACAAGTTAAGGTTGTTCGTTTTTGGCCTAAGAAACTGGAAGGACAAAGTTGCCGATGAGATGGGAAAGATTTTGGGAGGAACATATTTGGGGTGGGGGAAGAACAGGATTTGATTTTAACTAACTAAATTTGAGGTGCCTGTTCGACATTCTAGTAGAGATACGTGAGTGTAGAGTTAACAGAGATCAAGGCTGAAGATAGAATTTTAGAATGGCAAGCGAAAAGGTTAATGTAAATCTATACTATTAGATGAGAGCAGATTCAATAGAGAAGAAAAGCAGTCTAAGGACTGAGCCCTGGGGCACTGCAGTGTAATTGGACAGAGAGATGGATAGAAGCCAACAAAGGAGACTGCAGAAGAAATAGCCTATGAGGTGGAAGAAAACTAGGAGAGCGTGTTGTCTGGGAAGCTAAGTGAAGAATCTGTTGCAAGAGGAAGTGATCACCTGGTCAGGTTTTACTGATAGGTTGTTATGTAAGATGAGTATGTTTCATTTATGCCTCACAGCAGTGTTAATGAGGGAGCACTCTTACTGTTATTATTCCCGTTTTACAGATGAGTAAAATGAAGGAAAGACCATGTAAATAACTTGACTAAGGTCACATAGTCAGTAAATAGTGGAGCCCACATTAGAACATAATCCCAAAATGCATTGGATAAATAAATTTTATCAGAGCATCTGGGTCTTAGGAAGAGTTTGCCAATTTTGCCCTTGATTGCCCCCAGTCGTTAAAATACTTTTCTTCCATGCTTTTTCTTTGAATAAGCCAAACATAATCTTTGTATTATGTGTGTGTACATATATAGTACATGCGCATAGCCATACACTTGTATATGCCTGTACTGTCTCTGTGAACACGAGAATCTCGTAACAGTAATTGCCGTTGAGGAAAGGGGAACTGAGTGAGAACAGAAGTGGGAGACAGACTTCTCACCACACCTCTTAGTGTCTTTTGAATTGTGTGCCATGTGCATGTTACTGATTGTAAAATATTTCATTCTTTAAAATCTAAATAACTCATTTAGGATTCATTCTATAGCAGCAAGACATATGATTTGTTCTTTCAGGCTCTGGCCTAACAGCATCTCAGAAGAAATTGTGCTGATGCAGTTTTTTAGTAGAAAATATGTATTTGATGCACACTTAATTCCATTTTGTAGGCCTCAGCCTCCCTAGTGCTTTCATCTTTAAAATCTTTACTATATTTGCTCTTTCATCTATTATCTCCGTATTCCTCGCAGTGTCTATTACAATGTGTTGTACAAAGTAGGAACTCAATAACTTTTGAATGAAAAATTCCTACTAAGGGATAAATCATGAGAACTACCTGTTATTTCCTCAAATTTAGGCAATAAAGTAACTAAATTCGGAAAAATTCCATGAAACTTTTTCTCAGGCACTCAATTAGTAGCAGAGATTTTCAGTGTTTGTATCTACTTTCACCACCTTTATTGGTGCATAACTTATTTCCACTCTCTGTTGAAGTCCTTAATACCTACTCATTCACCACCTATTTGTTTGTTGAGCACTTCCTATGTTCTAGGTCAGGGGTCAGCAAACTTTTTCTATAAAGAGCCAGGTAGTAAATATTTTAGCCTGGCAGGCCATATGGTCTCTGTTATAACTCTATCCTTATAGTATGAAATCAACCATAGAAAATTTGTAAACTAATATGTGTGCCTGTGTTCCAATAAAACTTTATAGACACTGCAATTTGAATTTCACATAATTTTCATGTGTTGCAAACTATTCTGTGGTGATTATTATTATTTTAGCCATTAAAAAATGTAAAACCAGCTGGGCACAGTGGTTCAGTTCTGTAATCCTAGTGCTTTTGGAGGCCAAGTCAGGAGGATTGCTTGAGCCCAGGAGTTCGAGACCAGCCTCAGCAGCATAGCAAGACCCCCATCTCCTAAAAACCTTAAATTAAAAGATAAGTTATGTCTTATATTTGCACAAACAAACATAAATAGAAATATTTGTGAACATAGACCTTTTCAGAGAGCATTTATTATTTGGAGAGTGGATGATCCTTTTTATCATCACAATCCCTGCTGACAGCTACCAACTAGTTATTGATCACCTACCATTAGCTTCAAACCCATCATGGGCATCCCATGCCACTTAAAACAAATCCGATATTCTTCACCCTAATTTATAAAGCCCTAAGTGATCTGGTCCCTCCCTGTCCTCTAGAGCCTCCTCTTTCACTCTTCCTTCACCTACTCCACTTCCAAATTTACAGGTATTTTTTTCAAATCCTCAAATTTGGTAAGTTTGTTCCTACCATAGGACTCGGTACTACTCGTTCCCCATGCCTTACGCCAAGAGTGGTGTTTCCCAGACATCACATACATGGCTTTTCTTGTTATGAGAAAGGACCTTCCTAGTTGAGGCTTCCCCCAAAAAGTCAATCTAAGTCATCACTAGTGATTCTCATTCATATAACTATTTTAATTGTTTGCATACTATTTTTCGCTAATATTTTGTATGTTTGTGTATTATTGGCTCTATTTATCTTCCACCACTGGAGATGTGAGCAATGACTTTTATCTTGCTCACTTCTCAGTTACCTGATCTTAGAACAATATCTGGCATGTATTAGGCCCTCAATAATTATTTTTTGAACAAATTAATGAAGGAATGCATGCATACACTCATGCCATGGGCCCAGCACTCTGGTAAATCTCCCTGATGGAGGCATCCTTCGACTTGTATTCTGCTCTACTTGTCCCCTTCCCTTCTTGCATACACAGCCTAGTTTCTAGGAAAAGTGACCTATGTTCTGTTCTTCAGCAGCTTTCTACTTATAATAAATCCATTACAATCTGGCTTGTACCTCTACCCCTCGAAAGAAACTACTCACAATAGTTTCTCCACTTGCCAACAACTTCCTATTTGCTAAGTCCAGTGGATTTCATAGTCTTCATCTTATATAACCCATCAGTAGCTTTTAACAGTTTCTTCCTTGAAACATCCATTCTGCCTTCATATCTATGACATCATCTCTTTTGTTTTTATTTCTCTTAAGCCATGTATGCTTGTGGCTGCAATTTGATGTCACGTCAAATAATATAGCTGTCTTTGTGGGTGGAAAATCATTTCTGCTTAATAATTTCATGTCTTCACAGTGTTCTATCTGAAGAAATTTGTGAACCACTGCAATAAGGGATACATGGCTTACATGCGTACCTGTTAAAACTCTGTTTAGGCTGGGTGTGGTGGCTCATGCCTGTAATCCCAGCATTTGGGGAGGCTGAGGCAGGCGGATCACTTGAAGTCAGGATCAACCTGACCAACATGGCAAAACCTCATCTCTACTAAAAATACAAAAATTAGCCAGGCGTGCTGGCATGTGCCTGTAATCCCAGCTACTCTGAAGGCTGAGGCAGGAGGACAACTTGAACCCAGGAGGCCGAGGTTGCAGTGAGCCGAGATCGTGCCACTGTGCTGCAGCCTGAGTGACAGAGCAAGACTCCATCTCAAAAAAAAAAAAAAAACTCTTGTTTAATGACTTTTAGCTAGTCTTAATTTATGAACCCCATTTTTAATTGCAGAATATAAAACGGTTGTTATTTTTATTATATCTCAATTGATAATACCTGAGGTTGTAAATTCCATTTTGTGTAGCTTTCAGTAGGAAAGATTATTGAGGTTATTGTTTTGCTACAGTTTTTCATTTTAGGGAATAAGAGCTGAAAGTAAAGTTGTTTGAAGTAGTTTTTTTTGTTTTGGTTTGGTTTGGTTTGGTTTGGTTTGGGTTTGCGTTTGGGTTTTGTTTTTTGCGACAGAGTTTCGCTCTTGTTGCCCAGGCTAGAGTGCAATGGCACGATCTCTGCTCACTGCAACCTCCGCCTCCCAGGTTCAAGTGATTCTCCTGCCTCAGCCTCCTGAGTAGCTGGGATTACAGGCATGCACCACCACGCCTAGCTAATTTTTGTATTTTTAGTAGAAATGAGGCTTCTCTATGTTGGTCAGGATGGTCTCAAACTCCTGACGTCAGGTGATCCACCCACCTTGGCCTCCCAAAGTACAGGGATTATAGGCATGAGCCACTGTGCCTGACCTGAAGAAGATTTTTATAACCTATTTATTATTTTCCTATATCAAGGAAATAAGACCTTTACAAAACACCTGTTTGCAACATTAAAAACAAAATTAGGGGGCCTGGGCACGTTGGCTGTAATCTCAGTACTTTGGGAGGCGAAGGCAAGCAATTCACCTGAGCCCAGGAGTTTGAGACCAGCCTAGGCAACATGGCAAAACCCCATCTCTACTAAAAATAGAAAAAATAGCTGGGCATGGTGGCAAGCACCTATGGTCCCAGCTACTCAGGAGGCTGAAACCCAAGGATTGCTTGAGCCCAGGAGGTGGTGTTGTGGTGAGCTGAGATTGTGCTGCTGCACTCCAGCCTGAGCGACAAAGCGAGACGCTGTCTCAAAGAAAAAACAAAATTAGGGCTGGCCATGGTGGCTCATGCCTGCAGTCTCAGCACTTTAGGAGGCCAAGGTGAAAGGATCACTTGACCCCAGGAGTTCCAGACCAGTCTGGGCAACATAGTGAGTCCCTGTCTCTACCAAAAATTTAAAAAACAATAATATAAAAATTAAAGTAGCCAGGCGTAGTGGTGCACTCCTGTGGTCTCAGCTACCTGGGAGGCTGAACTGGGAGGATCGCCTGAGCCTGGGAGGTCGAGGCTGCAGTGAGCCATGATTGTGCCTCTGTACTCCACCTTGGGCAACAGGGGAAGACCCTGTCCAAAAAAAAAATTAGTTGGCAGACTAGCACTGTTTGTTAAAGACTTTCAATAAACAACATAAGAAATAAAGTGATCCACGTTTAAGCCGATCCTTAACTTTTCTTCCAGTCTCCACAAAGCGTGGGGGTGTGCAGGGGTTAGGTTTTTCTCCCCCTGTTTACAGCCACCACCTCCTCAGAGGTCTGTGTCCATCATCTCCTTTCCTCCTCTGGTTTCAACTTCTCCATCTCCATTATCTTTCCCAGATGTTCAAGTCTTTCCCATTCTATAAACAGATTCCACCAAATCCCCTTCCTGGGTACTGCTTCATCTTATTCTGCCGCTTCATGCTTCTCAATATATAACTTCTCTCTCCTACAACTTCCATTCAATTTTTTAAAACATTTTTTGTTCTGAAATAATAGGTTAGTGCAAAGGTAATTGAGGTTCTTGCTATTAAATGGCAGAAACTGCAATTACAGTTACCTTTGCACCAACCTAATATACATACTGAAAAGTATGTAAAATACATGTGCAAAAGAATAAATTAGTTATGTAATACACACACAAGTTAACTATCGCCATGTTGAAGTAACAGAAAATTTCAGCTATGCCAATATCCTGTGTGCTGTTTCTCCTCACTGGAAGTAACCTGGCTTTAAAGAAAAAAAAAATCCGGGTTAAGTTCACAGATCCTGGCTTTTATGAGTAATGATTTCTTTGCTCTTTTTGTAGTTTTACCACCTTTGTATGCATTACTTTACTGTTCATCCTGCTGCCTTGTACTCTTTCTAGAATATCTCAGAATTTTCACAGTAAGGTTATCTGTGAGCAGTTGCCACTTCAAGTGGATGTTTCTCAGTCCTAATCTCACTAGGCCTCTCTGCTATATTTAACATTGTAGATCAGTTCATCCTTCTTGAAACAACTCTAAAGTCTGTTACTGTATTCTCCTATGTCTCTGCATCCTTTAACCTTCCCTTCTATGTCCATTTCACAGGCTCCTCTGCCCACCCCTTAAACATTGATGTCTTCAGGGTTCCTTCCTCAGCCCACAGCCACTCTTACACTGTCCATGGTGATCCTGTCCACTCTAGTGATTTCAGCCTTCACTCTTATGCTGATTACTTTCAGATCTACTCTTCAGCTCAGACTCTTCTGTCTCTACATAGAAACTGCCTCCTGGAGATCCTTACCTAGATACTCCATATCCAAGACAGTCTTCATCAACTTTGCCTCTAAACTTGCTCCTCTTTCTTTTTCTACTTTTTCTGAATCAATCCTTGTTCACCCATGTTCAAAATCTGGAGGCATCCTGATTTTTCCTTTCCCTCATTCCCCACGTCTTTTCAATGACCAAGTGATACCAGTTCGTTCTTTCTTTCTTTCTTTCTTTCTTTCTTTCTTTCTTTCTTTCTTTTTTGACATGGAGTCTCGCTTTTGTCGCTCAGGCTGGAGTGCATTGGTGCGATCTTGGCTCACTGCAACCTCCGACTCCCAGGTTCAAGCGATTCTCCTGCCTCAGCCTCTGAAGTAGCTGGGACTACAGGCACACACCACCATGCCCAGCTAATTTTTGTATTTTTAGTAGAGACGAGGTTTCACCATGCTGGCCAGGCTGGTCTTGAACTCCTGACCTCGTGATCCGCCCACCTCAGCTTCCCAAAGTGCTGGGAGTACAGGTGTGAGCCACCACACCTGGCCCAAACTACAACTATCCTAACTTCGACACTTAAAACTGGATAAAGCTCATGCTCCTTTACTTGACTTACAAGGCCCTCCATTCTTGTGCCCTGCTTTTTCCACCTTGTCTTCCATTTACACCCGGCTATGTATGTCATATTTTGGCAGCATGTATGCTCTTTTTTAGTTCCATGTCACTGTTCATTCTGTTCCCTCTGCCTAAGATTCTCCATTTGATTTACACCTAATTTGAGAGTAAATTTAAGTTTTACACCTGCAGGGAAACTTTCTCTGACCCTTCTTTAACCCCATCCGCTGGTGGGGGAGTCCCCCTCACCACTCCATTAATGCCTTGTACATACTACTGTCACTGTATTGACATTGTTTTGTAATTATGTATATGCCTCTCATGTTCTGCTGGCCCATTATACTGTGTTGGATACCGAACACAGTACTTGGCACAATGCCAAATTGAATGAGGAGGGAAGAAGGAGAGGGAAGCACACATTGACATTAAGAGTAAAAGAATTGTTCTTACCATGTTATATACTTTAATATATGGAATCGCCTGAATACAGGTCTCCATACAAAACTCTAAGAAACTTCTAAGGAATCCCTTACCTATAAAGCTCTTTTGGAAAGAATGAGGTTTTAATTTTCTTCTAACATCAACAAACCCTCACAAATATTCATGTTGCAGACCAAACCTGGACCACCCAAAAAGCCGAAGACCCCTTCAAGACCATCAGCCTTAGCATATTGCTATCACTGCGCGCAAAAAGGCCATTATGGACACGTAAGTTTGAGTGACATTTGGGCATGAAGCATTCTGTTGTCAGGGAGTGTTTTCTGAAAGATGAACTCAAAAAGAATGTAACTCTAAATACTTACTTTTTAATAAACATTAAAGTAAGACTTAATATATTTTCAACTGGTTTACCCCTCCCCTCCCTGCTAGAGTAACAAGCTATCAGAGCATATTCCTCTAATTATGTTACATGTACATGAACAGGTTGGGATAAAACTAATATAGTTCATAAAATCAAACAAATATAATAGTCAACAGTATGATAGCAGTTCTCATGAGTTCTTACAAACACAATTGCTTTGACACCGCCATAGCATGATTTTAGATTTTCTTTTTTTTTTGAGACGGAGTCTTGCTCTGTTTCCCAGGCTGGAGTGCAGTGGTGCGATCTCAGCTCACTGCAACCTCCTTCTCCCGGGTTCAAGCGATTCTTCTGCCTCAGCCTCCCAAGTAGCTGGGATTACAGGCGCCTGCCACCACACCCAGCTAATTTTTGTATTGTTAGTAGAGATGGGGTTTTACCATATTGGTCAGGCTGGTCTTGAACTCCTGACCTCAGGTGATCCACCTGCCTTGGCCTCCCAAAGTTCTGGGATTACAGGCGTGAGCTACCACACCTGGCCGATTTTAGATTTTTGTTGTGTTTTGGGGTTTGTTTTTTTTTTTTTTGGTTTTTTTTTTGAGACGGAGTTTCACTCTTGTTGCCCAAGCTGGAGTGCAATGACACGATCTCAGCTCACTGCAACTTCCACCTCCTGGGTTCAAGCAATTCTTCTGCCTCAGCCTCCCGAGTGGCTGGGATTATAGGCGCATGCCACCATGCCCAGCTAATTTTTTGTATTTTTTTAGTAGAAATGAGGTTCCACCATGTTAGCCAGGCTGGTCTCGAACTGCTGGCCTCAGATGATCCACCCGCCTCGGCCTCCAAAAGTGTTGGGGTTACAGGCGTGAGCCACTGCGCCCGGCCCAATTTTAGATTTTCTACTTAGTTCTCCCGTTTTCCCTGGTACAATGTTCAGTTAAGTCTACATCACATACATGTAAACCCTGGCATTCAGTGGTGAAAAAACAGATGCTGCATCATTGACTTGCTCACCTACCCCACAAATGCCCAGATTCCCTATCCAGCCAACATATTCCCTAACCCCAGCTGAAAAGGCCAAACTGTGTGTGTTCTAGATGCTGAGGTGTCAAAGCAGAAGAAGCTTCTTGCTGAGAGCTGGGCATGAGGCCACTAGGCAGATGCCACATTAAGTATGAAGCAGCAGCAGCTCATTTCAGAGAAAGGATGTAATAAGAATAGGCTCAGAGCCCATACTTCTGGGAATCTTGAGGCAGTGGAGGAAAGGCAGTGGCACAGAAAGTAGAAAATTCTTAAAAAAGAATGTATTATTCCCAGTCTCCAGGTAGGCTTCTAGTAGCCTAGAAACCAAGATAAACTAATATCAAACCAGATCTGGTGTCAGGAGGCAGAAAGCATGCAGTGTTGGGAGTCCTCAGACTGAGAAGTATGAGCAATAGGATGGGGTGAGTGGTATTGCAGGTTACCACTTGAATTCCAACTATGACACATCACTGGTGTAGATCTTGGGAGCTGGAGACCTACATTGTAGGGCAACGAAGAAAAGTGCTGAACAGAATCCATAAACAGATAAAGTTTATCTTCCATATTGGGGCAGCAGCAACCGTGGGGGTGAGACATAACTTATGAAAGCCAGGATGAGGCTCTGAGCCTCAGTTGCAGTTTTTGCTCTGCTACTGACTCAACCATGTGATGTAAACAACCCATTTTTTCTCTTTGGTCCCATTTCTTTATCTCCAAAGCAGAGAAGTTGTACAGGAAATCTCTCAGCACCAAGTAGTGAAGACTTTTTTTGAGACACGGTACAGAGTGCAGTGGGCACTATCTCAGCTCACTGCAGCTTTGACCTCCCAGGCTCAAGTGATCCTCCCACCTCAGCCTCTCGAGTAGCTGGGATTACAGGCACACACCACTGTGCCCAGCTAATTTTGTTTATTTTTTGTAGAGACATGGTCTCACTATGATGCCCAGGCTGGTCTCAAACTCCTGGCCTCAAGCAATCCTCCCTCCTTGGCCTCCCGAAGTGTTGAGATTACAGAAGTGAGCTACCATGCCCAGCCAAGAAGACTTCTTTTACAGAATTATCATCTCTAGATCTTTTACTGCTCTGTCCATTCCTCATTACTAAACATTCAGATGTTGTCAACGTCTTTTAGGGAACATATTCACATAAGCTTTCCATTACCACACAAATCACATAGATGTACAATTTTTGCTTGCTTACCTCTGTAAAGCAGAGGGGTATAATTTTAGCATTTATGTTTGTTCAATTAAAGAAAAACAATTATAGTTGGATGCTTACTAGTCACTTCTGTTAAGGCAGATAGGAAATATATTAAAAGCATGTGGAATTTATCCCTAAAATCTAGATGTAGATAATTTTTAATTTACAATAAAGCAAATTTGGCAGCCTCATGACTGCCATAGATGAGGAACTCTAGATTATTTACACTAATGAAGAAGATCATTGGTGTGGCTAATCCAGAATAGTAGATAAATTATATAGCCAACTATCAATTGTCTGTGCTAATGGAGGGGACCAGCGATGTGGATAATCAAAATATAATTTACATTTAGCTTTGGAAAACATTTGTAGTATTATATAGCTCTGTGTAGTCACATCAGTCTAGACCATACAAGACCCAAATAGGGAACTATGCAGGTGGTTAAAGATGTCTGTGGACCCCTTCCCTTTCAATGTCAGAAATCCAGCCTTACAGATACTATTATTGAATGGATTCCTCATGTGAAAGACTAGATCTAAGGTGAATATGACATTGCCCTTCCCTAATTTCACTCACTCTCTAGCTGGGGAAGCAAGGACAACAGTAGTCACTGTACAAAGATTACTCCAGGAGTGTGTGAAAGGGGGAGCACGGGCTGGGAGAGTTAAAGATTCTGCTGAAATGAGTATTAGTTGAGTGTATCAAGACCTCTGTTACCTTTGCATAATCACAATTTGCTCTTTTTTTTTTTTTTTTTTTTTTTTGAGACAGAGTTTCGCCCTTGTTGCCCAGGCTGGAGTGCAGTGGCGCAGTCTTGGCTCACTGCAACCTCCACCTCCTAGGTTCAAGCTATTCCTACTTCAGCCTCCCAAGTAGCTGGGATTACAGGCATGTGCCACCACACCTGGCTATTTTTTTTTTTTTTTGTATTTTTAGTAGAGCTGGGGTTTCACCATGTTGGCCATCTGTTCTCGAACTCCTGACCTCAGGTGATCCACCTGCCTCGGCCTCCCAAAGTGTTGGGATTACAGGCATGAGCCACCATGCCCTGCCAAAAGCGTTTCTTTATGTTACCATGTAAGTTTGCCATATAACCTCTAGGACCCTCCCCCCGACAAAAAAACAATCTAAATAATCCAGGTAGTCACAACAGATAAATCTAAAGATAGCAGAAGGATGGAAATGATAAAGATTAGAACCGAACTTATTGAAATAGAAAAGTGAACAGCATCAACAAAACCAAAAGCTGATTATTTGAAAACTCTTTTTTTCAAACAAAAGAGAAACTTCTGGAAAAACTACTGAAAGAAAAAAGGTACTAATAAACAATGAGTGGAAAGTGTGAGTAACTTAAGATACTATATAAATGTTTTTAAATTATAAGACTACTTCATAAAGTTAAATCTGAAAAGGCAAATAACTCTAAAATATATGTATAAATTAACCAGACTGACTCAAGAAGAACAAATCAACTGAACCAATACCATTAAAGAAAATGAATAAGGCCAGGCACTGTGGCTCATGCCTGTCATCTCAACACTTTGGGATGCCAAGTTGGAAGGACCACTTGAGGCTGCCAGTTTGAGACCAGCCTTGGTAACATAGTGAGACCTTGCCTCTACAAAAAACAAATAAAAATTATGAAGTCTGAAACTTAAAACTTACATCACTGTTCATTGGAATATTCATCAGTAAGAGTATAAAAACACATGAGAATGGCCGACTTCAACTTGATGACAGTGGTAACTTCTGGAAAGGGAAGGAGATGAGTGCAAAATGGGAAGGACTTACATGGAGGATTTCAGCTATATCAGTAATACTTTATTCTTGGGGGAAAAACAGGCAACTAAGGTAAAATGTTATGGTTTTATATGAGGGTGAATATAGGTTTTTAATTATTTTTTTATAAATTGTGTGTTTAGAATGATTTATAATTTTTTAATTCTACAAATTAAGTACATAAATGTTTGGCTGCTAGCTTGGCTAGTTCAGACTTGGCTTAATTTTATGTGGATTTTTCACCTACTCTTTAAAATATATTCTAATTGTTTTTCATTACTTAGCTAAGAAACAACATTTTAAAGTAACTTTTAGGCAAGATGGCAGAGGCAGAAAGGGGAAAGTTCCAAAAGAAAAGATTTCAAACATGCTGAATGGATCTGTGTCACAGATCATGATAAACAAAAGCCTGCTATGTGGTGAGTGGTTCAGGCCAAAGCCTATGGATTTGGGAAATACTAGCTGGGTAGAGGCCAGAGTCATGAGAGTAGGAAGCTGTCCTGGGAAAATGAGTAAGAGTAGGGATTTCAACTTGGGTGGCGGAAGCAAGAAGAGAAACTTCTTTTGGGGTGTCTCACAATTACCTAGGAACAATTTTAAACTAGGCATAACCTACCACCAACCTACCCCCCACCGTTAAGAATCACTACCCCTATAAGCAGTGAATGTTGAGTTAAAATAAGCTTGCAAACCATTTGTCTCTAGAAAAAAAGATCAAAGGGCTTAGAACTTATACCCACATTTTGGGGATAGGAAGAAGAGATGGAAAAGAACTTGATAGAAGGCTGTTGGAAGTGATGGACAAGCAAAGGAGTAATACTAACATGAGGCCGAATAACATAAACCCACTAACAGAGCGGCAAGGCTGCTACCTCAGACTGTGAAAGGAGTTAGGCAGAAAAGGCTGAAAAAAGATACGAAGGGTTTCATAGGTAAAGAAGTAAGGGAAGAAAACTCAAGCTTGAAAGAATATCATAACACAGTGGGGTTTAGGGCTGGGTGACCCTCCCAACACCCCAGCAAGGACCATATCCTACAGCCACCACATGAGGTACCAGTGACATGGGGCTCATTTCTAATTAACATGCTCCAGAATCTTGCAAAAAGGTTTTTGAACAGTGTGACCATGTGACATCATAATTTTACATACAATTTATAGGAATGTCCAGAAAGAGAAGTGTATGACCCGTCTCCAGTATCTCCATTCATCTGCTACTATGATGACAAATATGAAATTCAGGAGAGAGAAAAGAGACTAAAACAAAAAATAAAAGGTATGTTGCTAGACTTCTTGTTAGATCACATTTGCAGTAGTTTCTAAATTTCTTTGTTTGTACTGTCTTTGCCTGCTTTGGGGGTCATTGGTTAGCATAGAAAGTATTTTTAGTAATTACCAAAGAGACTGGAACTTTCTTGATCTCCAGAAACCAAGCACCCACTTCAGAAATAATCCCATGTTGCAATCTCCTCACAGTAAACATTTTTTTACAGTGATCATTTTAGGAAATGTCCAGAAAATATTGCTGTCCATCTATATAGGCAGAGTTTTTAAAGGCTCCTTTGAGATTTTTCTGTTTGACAGGTAATTATTTTTTTTTCCATTTGTATTTCTCCAGTATTTTTTTATGGAAAGAAAGGCTTTCCTGCTAAGTTATTCCTGGAGCTTCCCTGAAGAAGTCATTTGTTAGAGGCCACCGCTGCAAGCAGAGCTCCAAGTTCACAACCACCTCTGTGGTTTCTGTACTTACTGTTGCAAACATTGTTCTTTATCACCAAATTAATATCTTATCATTTAAGTTTTCTCTACCTCTGTTCTTTCTTGTTATTCACTTCAAGGTGGTTTTCCAAGTTATCTTTCTTGCTTTAAAAACAAAACAGTTCTGTATTTTTTTAGTTTGTTCTATACCTTATTTTCTGACTCTTTTGGCCTTTTACTCTTCTGGATTCTTAGTTCAGGACCTTTCCAAAATGAAGGTACTAATTCTGAGGAAAATAGAGTTATTACTCTCCCAGCTCCTGCATATTTTACATATTTAATATAAAATGTATGTCATCTACAGCTATCCCTGGATATTGGTTCCAGGAGCCTCCTCATTTACCAAAATCTGCACTTACTTATGTCCCATAGTTGACTCTGCAGAACCTGATTATAGGAAAAAGTAGCCGTTCGTATACACAAGTTTCTAATCTGTGGAATGGTGTATTTTCAATCCTCATTTGGTTGAAAAAATCCACATTTAAGTGGACCCACGTAGTTCAAACTCATTGTGCAAGGGTCAGCTGTGTGGAGAAGTTATAGTAGTTGTAGATTATGATTAGGCAACCAAATTAGAGATTAAAAAGAATTGCATGAAAATGTCATCTCTAGATTAAAGGATTATATGTGCTTTCTGTTTTTTATGTTCTTTGTACTTTTCTGTTTTTTCCAGGTTTTCTATAATGAGCAGTTATAACTTATAATTAGAGAAAACCCATTTTGGTTTTTTTTTAGCTAGTTGTATCGACGTCTGTAGCATAAATCCACTTTGAGGTGTTCACTATGATCCTTTGAAATTTTTATAATAAAAGTCTATGCTAAAAGTTTTTATTGGCCACTTTTTTAATCTTTAAAGATTCTATTGACTGCTAGTTTTCATCTCTCACTGTAACCTCATCTCCCACCTACCCGTATCAGAATCACTATCAGAGATCCGTATTAAGCGTGTCAAGCTCTGACAAAACATTAACATCAGCTTTATCACTAAAACCTCTAAGATACCCGCACTCACGTGCACTCACACACACTCCTCAAAGCCAGTGATCTCTACCCTGGAGGAATAATCTCTTGGGCAGTTTGGCATCCACCTAAAAGTACTATGGCCAGGCCTTATCTTTAGAGGGTGGTTGAAATGTCATATGAGACCATCAAAAGGCCATTTTATAAATCTTGCTTTGCCTCATTTTCAAAGGCTGACTCGTCATCATTGGGGAAACTCGTATTGGTCAGACATGACTTTTCTTCACAAAGCTAAGATGATTACTGTTCTTACAGGTCCTCATCTCCATTGCTTAACCTTGTTAAACTGTTGAAAAGGATAATTAACTATCATTGGATTTCTGAATGTGTTTCATTTTTAGCAATCAGAAACTTGGAGCTACAACTATTTAATTTTTAGTGAGTGATGTCATACTGTTAACATGTTTAAATATCTAGCTTCCCTGTCTGTTAAGTTATTTACACTTAGGAAAGCTCAGCATGGACTGTTTAGCTGCTGAATATGCAAAAATACTTTTATATTTTTCAGTACTCAAGAAAAATGGGGTTATCCCAGAGCCATCCAAGCTACCTTATATAAAAGCAGCAAATGAGAACCCCCACCATGATATAAGGAAGGGCCGTGCCTCATGGAAAAGCAACAGGTGGCCTCAAGAAAATAAAGAAACACAAAAAGAAATGAAGAACAAGAATAGAAACTGGGAGAAGCACAGGAAGGCTGACAGACATCGTGAAGTGGATGAGGATTTTCCCAGGGGCCCCAAAACCTACTCTTCTCCTGGCAGTTTTAAAACCCAGAAGCCTTCTAAGCCCTTTCACCGTTCATCACATTACCACACGTCAAGAGAAGACAAGTCTCCCAAGGAAGGCAAGAGGGGCAAGCAGAAGAAAAAGGAGAGGTGCTGGGAAGATGATGACAATGATAACTTATTTCTTATTAAGCAGAGAAAAAAAAAGTCTTAAGCCGTCAGGCAGCCTCTGATGTGGCTTTTCATTGTTCATTTGGCCTTTGTGTCTATAACCTTCTGGCACTGTGTTTATTATCTATGATTAAATAAAGTGAGTTTTTGGTTTTGTTTTTTTAATTTCAGCCATTCCTAGAGTTACTGAATATCCATGGAGATCTCAATTCTCTGTGTCCAACAGGATATTAGGTAAGAAAGTACAAAGATAAACCTGGACTTCTCCTATTCCAATATGTCATCTTTACTCAGAATCCTAGGGATAGGTAGAAGAATTCATCTTTTCAAGAAAGTGTTTTAAAAATACTTTGGGAAAAAAACTGCATCAAAGGTAATTTATCCTCAAATTAAATCCTTGCAGGAAGAGAAATTAACACTAAGAAAAAGTCATCAATATTTTTCAACTTTTTTTTTTTTTTTTTTTACTTTGGAAAGGACAATAACTATAAACCTATATCCAGATTTTCTTTCTGCTGAAGCTGTTGTCAGAATCTTCCTTTGGACAAAACATCACTAGCTGACTATAAAAACAAAAGTGTCATCATTGAAGCCCTGAAGAGGCAGGGAATTGAGCTTCAGCAAAATACAGGAAAAGAACTATCCAGTATAAATGTCAGAAGACAGATTTCCTAAACAAGTAAAAGAGACATCAAAAATTTTAACATAATCACAATGAAATCATTTTTTACCACTTTTACAGCGGTGTTTCAAGCGGACTGTCACTCAGATCTGCAGAGATGAATATTACTCAAAAAATTTTTTTGTTCTCTTGCATTTTTTTCAACTACCGCAAAGCTATACAGATTTTTTTGTACTTGTGGATCTTTTGTACTTCTCATAACCTAATGTCAGACTAAGAAAAATAAAATATCTGAGAGTAAATACATGTGTTTATTATGTAAAAAGACAATGAGAGTTTGAGTGACAAAGAGCATAGTTAATGTTTATTTTGTTTGTTTGTTTGTTTGTTGTAGAGACAAGGTCTCACTGTGTTGTCTAGGCAGGTCTCAAACTCCTGAGCTCAAGTGATCCTCTTTCCTTGGCCTCCCAAAGTGCTGGGATTACAGGCATGAGCCATCACTCCCGGCCTTGGCATAGTTGTGTTGGGCAGGTGGATAAAGTTATAAAATCCCTGTAGACTGGAGTCAAAAATGCCATTTTTGCCCAAGTGCAAGCTCTCTGCCAGAATAAAATGGTATGAAATCAATTAAATAGGACAATTTTATAATGTCAGGTTCTTAAATTTGTATTTTACTCTTTGGGAAGTATGCAGATTCCTGTATTTCTGGCAGAATCATCTCTCATCTTTCTGAGAGGAAGGAAGAATTCTGTCCTCTCAAATCAGTGCTAGTGCAAATTGTAGGATCACAGAGTTTAGTCTACCACTTTCCCTGTTGCTGCATAGATTTCAGCTAACTTTATTATATGTTGATGCATAGCTTCCTAATAGCTAGAGTTGTTTTCACCCTAAAGTAAGCAACCAGGGTTTTTTTTTTAACAACTTGCTAAATGTGGCAGCCATAAAAAAAGTTTCATGGAAGTGGAAAACCTTGAGATAATTGGCATTATTCTCCAGTAGGACTTGAGGCAAACATGGCTTATTACTCATATGGTATAACAAGTACCCCTTCTGATCCTAAGGCATCTCCTTTCAGGGCAGAAATAGGATTGACGTTCTTTAGGTTCTTTCGTACATAGCAGATTGTTTGGAGAAGGAGAGAAAGGAAGCACTTTTTTTTCTGTTTGTCTCTGCACATTATCTTATTTTTTCCCAAAACTTACAAACATTTTGTTCTAGGGTATAATTTACCTATTGGGTCCATGTATTTACATGCAGATAGGAAAGGATGCTGAGCTACTTCACCTGTGGGCATGAAGATACAGTCTTCATTTCCTGGTAAGAGAAGAACAGAAACATGGAGGAGTCTTTGCTTCATTTCCTCTTCATTTCCCTTGCCCCCAGCTGTTACACCAAATGTTCAGTTAAGGTGAATCAGTCAGTCAGTTTATTAACATACAGACTCTTCATACAACAATGGGGAGTTTAAAATATGTATAGATTCAACCATTAATTAAATAAGACTTTACATGGATAAATACAAGAGAAGAAAAGCAAATGTCCAAAACAGTAAAGATCTGTATAGTTGGTAGGATTAAGAAGATTCTAAACATCTTACCTCTGGCCCAACTTTGATTTGAAGCAGCTTGAGTGGCTCCTATCTTGGGTTCTACCTTGGTTTGTGTTTGGCCTTCTCAAAACAGAGCAAGGGGAACCAGTCTCCCATTTTCTCCATGGAAAGTCTTGCTTTCATGGACCTTGCTATTTGCAGTACTTATTAGTAGCTCTTTATTTTTCTGTTATACAAAGATTATGTAATCATTTTAAGGGGGAAAAATGTTAAAAACAAGTCATATGTGATTCTTTCACACAAAAATGTAGTTAAAATTATTAGTGTCTATTTTTTCAGACTTTTCTATACCTATGTATACATTGTTTTGTAACCTGTTTTTCACTTACTTTGGGAACAAATACATGTCTGCACTTTTGCATGATGTTCTATTATATGGCTGTGCCATGATTTAATCAGCTCCCTGTCGAGCATTTTGTTTCCAATTTTTATTATTTTTGAAAAATTCTTCTACATAATATCTTCTCCATTTATTCAATTGTGATAAAATGGAATTTAGGGTCAGAGAGCATGCATATATTTCATAAAAGTTTTAATACATGATGCCAAATTATATTCCCAAGTCAGATTCTTCCCCAATCATTTATATGTCCCTGGCAGTTTGTGAGTATTCATCTCCCCATTCCCACAATCACATGGAATATTGCCATTCCCTTGTCTCTTTGCCACTCTGATGGGCAGCAAAGAAACATTATTCATTAGTGCTGCAGTGAAAAGATTGATGTGGGTTTGTCTGTGTAAGGAGAGACAGGATTAGCAATATAGGGAAAATCTGTTTTTAAAAGATGTGGAGAGAAGCTTCTCATAGGAAACAACTGAAAATTCTTCTGCCAACAAAAAATTACATACAAAATAAGGGAGCCTTTCATTTGTTTATAGCTGTCCTGATCCCCTGGTCTTATGCTTCGCTTTCTCAACAAAAGGAGGATGCTGCTGGCATCTAATAAGTAGAAGCCAGAGATGTTGCTAAATATCCTACAATGCACAGACTAGCTTCCCACAATGAATCTGGCCCAAAATGTCAATAGCGCTGAGGTTCAGAAACCCTAGTTGAAACCCCAGCTATTTCTCAAATGGAATTCTGTTCACTCGAGAGAGAGTTCACGTTGCCTTCCACATCTAACAGGATGTGCCCTTGTCTTACAAGGCTTTGCATTTCATCATATTGCCAGTGTTTGAGAGACTGGTTGGACATGGCCATTCATGTGAAATAAGGAACACTAGTTCCATGGCATGAAGGTCTACAGTCTGGACCACTTTGTGGAGGATCTGGGCCACTGGAGACTCAGCCAGCTGAGGGAAATTAATAGTTTAGGAATCATGGAAACAAACACTAGAGTGCCAGGCTATGGCTTGAGCCCTGGCAAGAAAAATATAGAACTGTGGTGTGAGAACAAAGGGATTCAGCTAGTGAGGGGAGGAAAGAGTTGGAGACTAATCTGATGGGACACTTAATTGGGTCAGAATGTCATTAGGCTGTAGGAAGGAACCCTCACCAGGATCCAAATCCAACATAGGCCCTTAGATCTCACAGTTGGACTTTCCATTTCAAAGAAGCACCAATGTTTTGGTGATTTATTACACATTGCCATGCAGTGAATCACAGGATGAAGCTGATTGGTGTGTGATTTGAGCCAAAAGTTTTTCTGTTCGTTTAATATATGTTACTTTTTTTTTTTTTTTTTTTTTTTGAGATGGAGTCTCACTCTGTCACCCAGGCTGGAGTGCAATGGCATGGTCTCAGCTCACTGCAACTCCACCTCCCAAGTTCAAGCAATTCTTCTGCCTCAGCCTCCCAAGTAACTGGGACTACAGGGACGTGCCACCACGCCCAGCCAATTTTTCTATTTTTAGTACAGACGGCATTTCACTATGTTGGCCAGGCTGGTCTAGAACTCCTGACCTCGTGATCCACCCACCTCGGCCTCCCAAAGTGCTGAGGATTACAGGCGTGAGCCACCGTGCCCGGCCTAAGTTACCTCTTAAAATGATTTCCTGGGAAATGATTCCATGAAAACCCAGTAAAGGAGTGGGGAGGGAAGTGAGACAGGGAAAAGAAGAGAAGGAAGCCAAGCTGGATGCTTATCAAGTCATGTCTCATAAAGAGGAACTTTCAGACTCACAGGGAACGCTAGAAAGAGTGTAGGCCACACCTCAAAGTTGCCCTAGTAAGGGGCAATGGAGCTGTAGTGTGTGTATCTTTTTTTTTTTTTAATTAGTCATTGTTTAAGCCAGGTAAATTGGGTTTAGGCAGCCCCCTGACGGATGGAGATATGAATGAAACACCAATGTCATTCGCTACAGCCATAATCTCAGAACAGTTCTTCTTACAAAAAGATACTTGGGGCTGGGCATGGTGGCTCACGCCTGTAATCCCAACATTTGGGAGGCTGAGGCAGGAGAATACTTGAGCTCAAGAGTTGGACACCAGTCTGGCAACACAGCAAGATCTCATCGCTACTAAAAGTAAAAAAAAAAAAAAAAAAAAAAAAAAAGATTGGCCAGGCATGGTGGCTCACCCCTGTAATTCCAGCACTTTGGGAGGCCAAGATGGGAAGATTTGCTTGAGTCCAGGAGTTTGAGACTAGCCTGTCAAATTAGTGAGATCTTGTCTCTCCAAAAACTAAAATTAGCCGGGTGTGGTGGCACACGTCTGTGGTCCCAGCTCCCGAGTAGCTGGGACTACAGGTGTGCACCACCACACCCAGCTAATTTTTTGTATTTTCAGTAGAGACGGGGTTTCACCATGTTGGCCAGGCTGGTCTCAAACTCCTGGGCCCAAGCAGTTCACCTGCCTTGGTCTCCCAAAGTGCTGGGATTACAGGCATAAGTCACCACTCCCTGACTAAAATATTGTTGATCTGCAGTTGGTTGAATCCATGGATGTAGAACCCTAGGATACCATAGACCAACTGTATGTTTATTATCTTGTGATCGTTTTGCAGGTGTGTACATATGACAAAGTCTAGTTTCACACAGGTAATCCATTGGAAACATTTTAATATTTTTTCACTGAATTGGGACTGTTCTTATTAAACTGGGTGAGTTAGGCTCAGTAGTCCATAGGCTATCTTCAGTTTTACTTCCTGCTTTGTCCATATGGGGCCAAGAAGACTTGATCATAAGGCAAGTATCCACCTGCAGGGGCCTTGCAGGGAGAGGTCACTGACCTCTTAAGCCTGTGAGTAGGACCTTTATCTAAGAGGCATGCTGGTGATAACTACATGCACAACGTTCGGAAACTACTGTCTACAGGCTGAAGTCTAACTTCTGGCCTAAAATTCAAAGCCTTTCATGCTTCATCTTCTGCAGTTCTTCGCTCTTCTTTCTCCTCTATCCCCTTCACCCTTCCCGTCCCACCACATGAATGACTAATTCCTGAATAGGTCATGCTTCTCCTCCATGCCTTTACCTGTGCTATTACCTCTACCCAAAATATCCTCTTCCCCTTTTATGACCACTCCCAGACAATATTAATCCTTCCCTCTTTGGTGTTTCTGTTGTCATCTGAGTGATTTATTCAGCAAACAGAGGCTATGGACTTTCTTTGCGTCAGGTAGTATTCTTGCTTGAATACTACCTGACGCAAAGAAAGTCCATAGCCTGTGCTTGCTGTGGAGAAATCTCAAGCCTCAAGGGCTAACAAGCAAGAGACAAACACGAAAACCAGTATTTTGTCTTAGAGGTGAGGAGTGCAGTGAGAGATACGGGTATGATGGTAACACCAAAGAAGCATGATTGGTCCTGCTACAGAGAGGGGAGACTGGGCAGGACTTCCCGATGGGTCATTATAACAGAAGAAAAGTGTTGCAGCTTAACAAAAGGGGAGGAGCATGAACCATGTGTGTGAGGCGTGGAGCTGTGAAACAGCAAGGATGCACTCTGTATTCGTTGCCTGGAGCTACTGTCCCAAAATACCACAAAGTGGTGGCCTGAAACAACAGAAATTTGTTCTCTTACAGTTCTGGAGGCCAGAAGTTCAAAATCAAGGTGTCAGCAGAGTTGGTTTCTTCTTGTTGTGCTGAGATAATTCCTTCCATGTCTCTCCTACCTTTTGGTGGGCCTGAGCAATCCTTGGCATTCCTTGGCTTGTATAAGTCCAGTCTCTGCCTCTGTCTTCACATAGGGTTCTCTTCTGTGTCTCCTTGTGTCTTGGCTTTCTGGCCCACACTAAAATTATCTAGGGCAATTTTATCCCAAGATCCTTAATTACTCTCTGAAGACCCTATTTCCAAATAAGGTCACATTCACAGGTGTCAGGGATTAAGATTTGGACATATCTTTTGGAGGAACATTATTCAACCCACTCCTACCTCAAAAACTATAAGAATTGCTTTGCCTAGTTGCACTTTTGTTTTTATTCCAAGCTTTTATCGGGGGATTCGGTCTTCCATATGTTCTTTTTTTCCTCTGTCCGACTTTCCATTCTGATTTATACCTTCCTCAAGACTTTTAAATTAGTGATAATTTCTCATCTTACATATGTCCTTATACTTCAGTTTGTGAAATGTGTGTTGGACAAAAGCATGAACTGGAAAACACCTATCAGGTTTAGTGGCAGACCTCTGCCAAAGGAGTTCCAGGATAGCAGTGAGCCAAGAAACTAGATTGCAGTGCATTGAGGAGGGAATGAGCAGCTACGAAGAGGAGGGTGTCTGTCTCTTTAAACCCTTGCCTGTGAAAGGCTGACAGTACAGAACACTGGCTGGAGTGAGGCTGACATTGACAGGAAGCTGCCGAAAGAGAGAGGGATGCTGGAGAAATAAAACTCAACTTATGGCACTCACATCAAGGAAGTGGGAAGGGATGGATCCAGAGGGACAAGCCAATGGAGACGGGCGAGCAGGGTAAGGAGATGGTATCCTCCTCCTTGATGGAGAAGCTTTTTCCAAGAACAATGGAATAGGTGTGCGGGGCATAGGGAGACTTGGAAGGACCCCCAAAGGGAATAGAAAAGGAGAGCCTCTTGGCCACTAGGATGGTGTTAGGGAGCCAGGGGAGGTTGGAGCCTCTCTGGAAGTGCCCTGTGGCTGCCCAAGTGAGGGGAGACAATGAGTACACATGTGAAGAAAGGATTTCCTGTGGGAAAACCAGATTCATGTCCTTCCTGCCCAGAGTTATGTTCTTCAAGGAGTTCAGTCCTGCACACACTAGTGAATAATCCTTATAAATGTCCACATATGCCCCCCAAGTACGTCTACCAAACATAGCTCAGTCTTACGTAAAACAGTGTACACATGTTACTAATCAGATGCTCTCATAAGGAATCATGCCATTTTGAGAGGGCCCGAAGCTCTAACAACTTGAGACCTCCTATCTGGGCCGTAGCTTTCTCATTATAAAGTTGGAAGTGGTAGGATTAGCCTGGATGGGTTCTCATTACCTCCCAACTCTGGTATTCTGTGGTTCTAATGGTAGTTGGTAGCCCTTGGCATCACTCAAGAATAATCCTTGATGGCCAGTGTGCAGCACTGCCTCCCTGTGGGCACCCCTCAGTCTAACAGCCACACAGCAAGTCCCCAGCCTCCCCAGCTCTGCCCCATTGTATCCAGGTAAGCAAGGTGAGCCCTTGCTGTAAGCATCACCCTGGTTGCCTTCCCATGACCCAGCTTCTGAGAATCTCCTTGCTGTGTGCATAGCCCTCTTCACCCATCTCTCCAGCTCTTCGTGTTGGGCTCCGCCCTTCTTCTGGTAGTCTTCTGATTCCATGTGGCCCCATGAGCCACTCTCTGCCCAACCAGTCATGTAGATGTGGCTTGTGCACAGTCTAGAGACTATATAAGCAGGCCATGATGGTTGGTTGTGATCATTTTTAGGTATCATGCTCTTGATAATGAACATATCCCTCGATTTGATACTGTTTTGATGGGAAAATCAGTTTTATCCCCTCACCATCCCTTTGTGAGCATACACCTAGCCTTAAGTGCTTAGAAGTGGCTGTTCTGGCCAGGCGCAGTGGCTCACGCCTGTAATCCCAACACTTTGGGAGGCCGAGGCAGGAGGATCACTTGAGCCCAGGAGTTCAAGACCAGCCGGGGCAACATAGGGAGACCTTGTCTCTACAAAAAAAAATTAAAATAAATTAGAAATAAGAAATAAGGCCAGGCACGGTGGCTCATGCCTATGATCCCAACACTGGGAGGCTGAGGTGGGAGGATTACTTGAGCTCAAGAATTTGAGACCAGCCTGGGCAACATGGTGAGACCCCATCTCTACAAAAAAATTTAAAAAATTAGCCAGGTGTGGTTTTGCACACCTATATTCCCAACTACTTGGGAGGCCGAGATGGGAGGATTTCCTGAGCCCCTGCAGTGAGCTATGATTGCACCACTGCACTCCAGCCTGGGTGACAGTGAGACCTGGTCTCAAAAAAAAAAAAAAAAAAAAATTCTGTGGCACCCTCCTGGAGACGGGTCTGTTTTTAGCTTCCACACCATTAATAGTTTAATCTCTTAAGTCACAAGTAAGGAAAGGGAGTCACATACGACAGCAAAAGCCCGCAGTTCCCAGCAAAAGCCAGAGGCAAATGAGAACCCACGAAGAACCCAGAGTTCACACCACAACCTGTGCGCTGGTCGGGGTGACCCATGCTGGACCTCCACAGAACATGGGGCCATTCAGCTAACTCAGTAAACACTTGCTGAGCATCTGACCTGAGCCAGGTCCTGTGCTGACATCTAGGACTTTCTACCCTTAAGGAGCTGTGGCTTTTTCTCTAGTTGGTGAGACAGATGGAAACCCCTTCAGTTCCACTACAGATATTTTTGAAATACCTGTTATGTGCCAGGCACTTTCTGAACTCGAGGTACCGCAGTGAACCAGACAGGTGTTATCTATGCCCTCCTGGGGCTTCTAAGCCTTCAGAGAAGATAGACACTGTACAGGTGAGTTAAGTGCTCCAAAGAGTATGGCTCCTGGTGTGTAAGGGTTCAAATATCTGTTGATAGAAAGGATAAAGGCCATGTCATCTTTATTCTTTCTCACAGGGCCCAGCATGGGGCCTAACACAGTTAGACTTAAGTAAATGGATTCAACTCACTGGTCCCCAGCACTGTCCTCTGCATGATGTTACCGAAATGGAGACAACCAAAACTAACTGGACAACTTAGTCAGCTGGACTGGAAGACTGCACTTCCAAATGGAAAGGTTTGCAGTGGCTCCTTTGGAAATGTGGCTTCAAGGGTGGAGAGGGGGGAAGTGAATGTGGGGCTCGCATTATAGGCTTTGGGGGTTACAGAGCTTGCTGGTGTTGCTTGCCCTTACGCTCTGTCAAATCTCAGGCAGATGAAACAAGATGTAAGCTTTCTAAATTATCAATAGAGGGCCTGTCATTCAAATGGAAGATAAGACCAGAGAAAATAAAAGTCCACCAAAATAATGCCAGAGAAAAACAACCCTGGTCTTTCAAAAAACCATAGATACAATTTCTTAGAGAAGTTTAGGCCAGGTACAGTGGCTCACACCTGTTATCCCAGCACTTTGGGAGGCCAAGGCAGGTGGATCACTTGAGCCCAGGAGTTTGAGACCAGCCTGGCCAACATGTCTCTACCAAAAAAAAAAAAAAAAATTAGCCTGTTGTAGTGGCACACACCTGTAGTCTCAGCCACTCAGGAGGCTAAAGCAGGAGGATCGTTTGAGCTTGGGAGGCAGAGGTTGCAGTGAGCCAGGATCACGCCACTTGACTGCAGCCTGGGCACCAGAATGAGAACCTGTCTCAAAATAAAATAAAATAAAATAAAAAAGGTTTAGTCCAGGAGGCCTATTTGTGTTTTGAATCAAAATTCACTGCTTTAGAAAGAAACTGCATGGATTTCAGTGTTCTCGTCTGTCATACTCTCTCAGACTTCTTTCCTACCCTCAGAAAGCTTCCATTTTAAGATAGGAAAGAGAAGCCCTGAAACAAGACCAGTGTAACTTAAGTTACAAAGAGGCATTCATGTGGGTCTATGTGTGTGGAGAGAGGTCACTTCTAGTGTCACTGGTGGTGGAGACCCAGGAAAACTTCACAGAGGAGATGGCATTGGAATTAGCTCTTGAAGCATAAAGAAGACTAATAATTAGGATAAGAGGAAATGCCTCTCAGGAGGAAGACAAATATAGGCAACAGCCTGGATGTAGGATAACCTAGGACACACTTAAGTAAGAAGGTCTAGTATAATTTCCCTTGACTCTAGTTCACATGAGGGTAATAGAGGGAGGTAAATGAACCAGATCACTGAAGTCTGAATTTCAAGCTAAAGAGTGTGGTTTCATTTTCCTCATCTATAAAATGAAGATAATATCTCTGTCTCTTGCAAGAATTAAAGTGAGGCCAGGCACAGTGCATAGCCCTCTTCACCCATCTCTCCAGCTCTTCGTGTTGGGCTCAGCCCTTCTTCTGGTAGTCTTCTGGTTCCAGATAATGGCTATGATTCCGGCACTTTGGGATGCTAAGGTGGGAGAATCACCTGAGCCAGGAGTTTGAGACGAGTCTGGGCAACATGGCAAGACCCCAATCTCTACAAAAATTCTAAAACTTAGCTGGGAGTGGTGGCGTGCACCTGTGGCCCTAGCTGCTTAGGAGGCTGAGGTGGGAGGATCGCTTGAGCCCAGGAGAACAAGGCTGTGGTGAGCTGTGATTACACCACTGTGCTCCAGCCTGGGCAACAGAAGGAGACCATCTCAAAAAAAAAAAAAAGTTCTGCATTAGATGTATATATATTAGATATGTATATATTAGTCATTAACTACTTGCATAATGCTTTGTAAAAAGCAGCTGACACAGGCTGGGCGCAGTGGCTCACACCTGTAATCCCAGCACTTTGGGAGGCTGAGGTGGGTGGATCACGAGGTCAGGAGATCAAGACTGTCCTGGCTACTACGGTGAAACCCCGTCTCTACTGAAAATACAAAAAAATTAGCCACACGTGGTGGTGGACGCCTGTAGTCCCAGCTACTTGGGAGGCCGAGGAAGGAGAATGGTGTGAACCTGGGAGGCAGAGCTTGCAGTGAGCTGAGGTCGCACCACTGCACTCCAGTCTGGGCGACAGAGCGAGACTCCATCTCAAAAAAAAAAAAAAAGGCAGCTGACACAATGGCAGTGGTGGCAGCGGAGAACCATCGAAGATTTTGACTAGGGGAGATGAGTCACTTGTGTGGAGATGTGTTTTAGATTAACACAGCACTGCACAAATTAGCAATTAGCACTTTTGTAATATTAGTACTCATAAATTGCTTTTCTTTCCAAGGAATTAAAAGACATGAACAGACATGGTAGGTGGTTACATCGGTCAGGGTTCTCTCGAGAAACAGAACCAATAGTAGAGATTTATTCAAGCTTGCACAGTTGTGTAGGCTAGCCAGTCTAAGATCTGTAGGGCAGGCAGCTGAGGCAGGATTTCTGTCTTAAGGCAGAATTCCTTCTTTGGGAAACTTCAGCTTTTGCTCCTAAGGCCTTCATCTGATTGAATGAGGCCCACCCACATTATCAATGTCAGTCTCCTTTATTTCAAGTCAGCTGATAAATCACATCTACGAAATACCTTCCCAGCATCATCTAGACTAGCATTTGACCAACCAACTGGGCATCATAGCCTAGCCAAGTTGACATATAGAATTAGGCATCACAGTGGTCTTTATCTTGAATATGGAAACTGAGACACAGACTGGCAAACTGACACAGAAGCTTGGCCAAATTAGAATTCCTAGAACCCGGTACCAGGCCTACCAGGTAACTCTTGTGTCTTATAGTTTTATATTATTTATTCCTGCTTTTTACATAAAATTTACCATAGACATAACCAGACTGAATATCTATGGGTAGATTGTGCCGAATGCTGATGCAAACCACTCTATTTTGGGGAGGAAAGAGAGGACTGACGTCAGGTCAGGCCCACAGGTAGAGACACAGACTTTGGCTTGGTGCGAAGAAACACTTCCAGACTGGAGTTTCCACCAGTGGGACAGGCTGCCTGGGACACACACAGCTCTTGGTCCCCGGAGGCGAGCAACAAAAAGCTGAGCCACTTAACATGGTGCTGTGAAGGAGATCCAAACATCCAGCCAGCATGGACCAGGGGCTGAGAAGAGCCTCCCTCCGAGCCTGTATGAATTCCGATAACCCCAGATACTAGAAATGATCCTCACAATTAACTGCATCCTTCAGAAAAGTCCTTGCTCCTCTCCCTACCCCTTCTCCACCACCAGGGAGCCTGTGGAGATTGGAGCAGAACGGGGAACCTCCCTGAGATGGAAGCCATCTGCAGGCCCCACTCACTTTTCCTCCACTGGCGCCCTCTTGCCTGCCAGCCTACCCTGGTTAACCTTCCTGGGAGGAGAGCTTGTCAAAGTCGCCTCCGCCTCAGCCTCCTTTCACAACCCTGCCTCATCTTCCACACCAAGTCTCAGGGGGCCTGCAGGACCCACCATCATCCTGGAGAAGTCATGGGTCGCCAGCCACCTGTCTCCTGTGCCTGCACCCAACTAACCATCGCTTCCTGCTAATTTGCATTGACAACCTTCCTGCACTTGGCTGCTCAGGGGAGTTTTCTGGTTTTATCTCCTCAATTAACTTTGGCCTCCTGGGTCACTCTGGATTTCCCACTGCAGACCTGGCTGTGGAAGCCTGCCTATATGCTCCAGAGGATTCTTGTCTTTTCACGAGCCCTCCCTTCCCATCTGCAAGCCAGGCTGTGCACACAGCAACATCTTGCAAGGGAGTCTCGGCCATGGCAGGATTTTTGAAGTTCTGGTGGGTGTCAGAGCTGCAAAGGGCCAAAGGACTGTCTAGTCCACTCTAGCCCACCCGACTTTGCCTCCTCTCCTCACTTCACAGATGGGAAATTGAGGCAAGAACTGAGAAAAGGCTTGCGGTGGTCATACATCAAGTCAGAATAATGGCCAGACCCAGGCCTTGGTGCCCCCTCAACCCCCTCACACTCTCTCTGCCACATTTTGTCAACAGAAAACAATTTGCAAACTTCATCAAGTTAGGAGGGAGTGAAAAATGTGTTTAAATATTGAGCTTCAACAGCCTTGTTACTTCTAGGCACCTTCAGCTATTTGCAAGAATCTCTGGGCATAGCATGAGCCGGGCTGTGGCATGGGAGTGAGGGGCTGGATGGAGAAGAGGCCTCCCTCCTGGGCCAGGAAGCCGACTCCCATCCCCTCCTTTAGCACCGTGGACTGAGCACCTCTAAAATAACACCTCCCATGGAGTTACGATGCGTCAGGGAGCAAATGAACTCTGAGATGCAGGAACTAGACCTGAGGACAGGAGGAAACTGGGAAGGGAGTGGGGAGCAGCAGCAGAGCAAACAGAAAAGATGCCCGAAGGAAGCGAGTTCCTAGGCCACCAGGGGCCAAGACCCCAGCACGTGCTATAGATTATCTTGGGGTTCCCAAGAGAAAGAAACTCTCAAGATCAGAAAGTCACTGTTGTCTTGGAGGACTTTCAGAGATAATGAAGTCTAGAATGCTCTTGGTACCTATGGGGAAACTGAGGCCCAGAGAGAGCCTCGCATCCCATACTGAGTTGGGGGCAGAGCCAGGACTACTGCCCAGGCCCGACCCCAGTGTGAGACTCTTTCCACAAGGTGGGGAACCAGGGCGTGGGAGCAGGGTTTGCAGGAGACCTGAAGGAGGGGACATCTATGGTTGGGTGTTGAACTTTTTGGAGCCCTAGAGGCCAGTGAGGCAGAAACACCACAGAGGAAAGCTGGGGTTTCTCTGTGACAACAGACTCTTGTGGTGCTATGAAGAAACTGGTGTGGTTGTGATGAGGAAAGAAAGGCTGTGAAAGTGAAATTTCCAATTTGTGAGAGGAGGAAACTGCAAATGTGTTCTCCATCCCATGCAAATTATCTGTGGCCTTTTGTCCTGCACCTGCAGCGGCTCACAACATACACAACACCAGGGCTCAGACAGGGCTCAGGGTCCCGCAGAGTCTGAACTGGGTCTTCCAGCTCCAAACACAGCAGGAGCACAGGGGCAGAGAAAGTCTCCCTCCAGCTGTGGGGGTGTCCTGAGATGCCTGAGCTGCACCTGTAGGGTGTCTGCCCTCCCAAGGGCCTGCCAGGATGAGAACGGGCAAACCTGGCCAAGGTGACCCCATTAGGGACTACCCTCCTAGGGACAGCACTCAGGGCCGTTCCCAATCACCCCGGATTTCCTGTCCTGCTCGTCTCCTGCCACACCTCCTTTTGATCTACCCCCAAGACACCCCTACCTTTTTATTCTGTGAAAATTTACTCATGCTGTGGGCCCTGCTGGAAATGCCCTCCTACTGTTTCCCCAAACCCCGTCAGAAATTCCACGGGGAAACTCCCTTCCCTTCTGCTGCAGGCACCGTCACTGTGTCTCTCAGCTCTGCCCCCCAGCCTCTGAGTACCACCTTATCCTAGCCCTTAGCTACTGGCTTGTCATTGTCTCTTTACGTTCTCAGCCTCCCACAGAAGCCTGGGAGCTCCTCGAGGGCAGGTATCTGATTCATCTCTGTATCCCAAAAGCCCAGCGTTTTGCTTGGCACCCATTAGAGGCCAGGAAGGGCAAACCTCCTGTCAAATCCCGGGGGAGATGTTGCTAATCAGTCCTGAACACCGTTCCCTTGGAGACTCAGGCTTCTCAACGTGGTGGGTAGGCCCTGCCTGTCAGCCAGGACCTGCTCTCCCAAAGGGGCGCTCCAGAAATGTGTGACTCAGTTCAGCTGGAAGCTCCTGGCCCCTCAGAGGTTTGACGCCAGCCCTCTGGTGTGTGATTTCTGAGATACCAAGGCTTACTTCCTCATGACGCCCGCATGCTGCCTCAGCTTCACTCCTGAGACAGTCCAGGCAGGAAGCACAGAACTCCTCTCAGTTCTGTACTCACACTCGATATTCACACTCATACACACGCAAGTATGTACACATGCACATATGCACACTTGCACCACACATGCTGCCACATACACAATAACACATGCACACGCTTGCTCACACTTGCACACACACACAAATACACTCCCATCAAATGTTTTACGGGATTCAGGAGTTTCAGTGAAGATTTGGGGCTACGAGGACAGGTTACATGACACTGGGCATAGCTTCCCACTGTCCTTGCAGCTCCCCCTACCCACTCTCTCTGTCCTCTCCCCCTCAATTCCCTCCATTGTTCCAGCACTGCCCCACCTCGGTCCCAAATTCTCATCCCTCTGTTTTATAGAGCCATTCTACTGTCTGCTCTGGAGTTGGGAACTGTCCATACCTGTGCCTGCAGATCCCAAACAAGGGAGTGTTTCCCAAAGAGGCATTTGAATCACATGTTTCTCCGTCTTGCTTAGTATCATTATGAACAAATGAATGGCTGTAGCAGAAGAATGTCTTGTCACAGCTCTCCATTTCCCATTCTAAACTAACACAATTCTGGCCAGACATAATGGCTCATGACTATAATCCCAGCACTTTGGAAGGCTGAGGTGGGAGGATTGTTTGAACCCCGGAGTTCAAGACCAGCCTGGGCAACATAGTGAAACCCCCGTCTCAGTTTTTTTAAATAAAAGAAAAAAAGGAATAAACACAATTCAGTGACAAATCTCTTGTTTTGGGCCCTACTCAGTGCCTGGCACTGTGCCAGACACTGCAAATACAGAGACAGTAGCTCCCCCAAGAAAGCACCACAGTGCCTAATAGCAAACACACACACATAAGCAAACACTAGGCTGGGCACAGTGGTTCACGTCTGTAATCCCAGCACTTTGAGAGGCCAAGGTGGGAGGATCACTTGAGCCCAGGAGTTGGAGATCAGCCAGGGCAACATAGACCCCATCTATTAAAAAACAAACAAAAAAGCACGCATGGTGGCCCATACCTGTAGTCCCAGCTACTCAAGAGGCTGAGGTAGGAGGACATCTTGAGCCTGGAAGGTCAGGGCTGCAGTGAGCCATACTCATGCCACTGCACTCTAGCCTGGGTGACAGAGCAAGACCTTGTCCCAAAAAACAAAACGAATAGTGACAAGTGAAGGATGTGACTGAGGCCATCCTAGAGGTAGAGAAACAGCCTTTCTGCTGTGATATGAAGGACAGTCAACTTTCCAGGTGAGCAAGATTGGGAAGGTCATCTCAAGCAGGAGGAGCAGCACGTGCAAGGACACAGGAGTGCCTCACCTATTCTTGAGCTTCATATAAATGGAATCATCCAGTGGGTACTCTTGTCTCTGACTTCCTTAGCTCAGTGAGTCTGTAAGATTCACCCATGGGGAGAATACTCTAAAGCTTTGTTTCAAACATTGAGAATTGGGGAGCTAACTTGGAGGAGCCCAAACTCAACACAATAGTTTCCTAATCACCCCACCACAGAAGCAGGGCTCTCATGAAAATTAGCTTTTATCCTCTTCTTGTAAAAGCTTCCACAGAACCTAAGCCTCAAGGAGCACAATGTATAGCAAGCTCCCCCACCGCCTGCACTGAGCAGCAAGAGTCTCACTCTAGTCCACAACTTAAGATGTTCTATTAAACCCAGGGTGGATTTTCTATGCCCAGTGGTTTTCCATTTTGTCTTTTAATTTTTACTTTAAGGACTTAATTTTAACAAAAGAGCCAAATTACCACCAAGCTTTGAAATGAACTTTAGAGGAGTTAAGAACAGGCTTTGGAATATGAAGCTTTAATGAATATTGGAAGACAGTAATTAAACAGCCACTGTGCCCTGTCTCATGCTTTACAAAAGGCAAGGAACAGAGAGATCAAAGACTGGAGGTGTTTGCTTCGGAACCACTGGAACCACCTGAGGAGATTTTTTTTTTTTTTTTTTGAGACGGAGTCTCTCTGTCGCCCAGGTTGGAGTGCAGTGGCATGATCTCAGCTCACTGCAAGCTCCGCCTCCTGGGTTCATGCCATTCTCCTGCCTCAGCCTCACAAGTAGCTGGGACTACAGGTGCCTGCCACCACTCCTGGCTAGTTTTTTGTATTTTTAGTGGAGACAGGGTTTCGCCACGTTAGCCAGGATGGTCTGGATCTCCTGACCTCGTGATCCACCCACCTCGGCTTCCCAAAGTGCTGGGATTACAGGCGTGAGCCACCGCGCCCGGCCCACCTGAGATTTAAAGTCTCCTGTGCCCAGCCTGCACCCCCAGACCAATGGCATCGGAATCTGTTGGATGGGGACACAGACACCACAATTATCTCTTAAGCACTCACGTGATTCCAATGTGCTTCCAAGGTTAAGAGTTTCTGGATTGATTGACAGTGAAGTGATGAGAAACTGATAAAGGAAAACGGGTGAAGCTGAAAGAGAGAGGTCTTCACACCAAAATACAGCTCAGCTTTGGAAGGAACCGAGAGGGCTACACCCAAGCCTGGTGACACCAAGGGACATTTCCAACCTCTGAGGAAGGAGTTCTGTTATGGGCTAAATTATGTTCCCCCAAAATTCATATGTTGAAGTACTAAATCCCAGTACCTCAGAATGTGACTGTATTTGAGGCTGGCCCTATAGAGGGGTGATTAAGTTAACGTGAGGTCACTATGGAGAGCCTCAGTCCAATCTGACAGGTGTTCTTAATACATAAGAAGAGGAGACCGGAACACACAAAGAGACCCAGGGGTGCACAGGGACCACATGAAGAGGCAGCCAGAGGGCAGCCACCTGCAAGCCAAGGAGGAGGCCTCAGCGGAAAGCAACCCTGCCGATGCTTTGGTCTTAGACATCTGTGGATGACGTCACTCAGTGTTAGTTTGGTGTAGCAGCCCTTGCAAACCAATGCAAGCTTCATTTCAGCACTTTGGTCTTATGTCTAAAGAGTCTTCTCACAAGGTTACTTCTTCAGCCACTTCTCGGACTCTTCCCTAACAACTAATGAGGATCCCCTTAAATACTGATCCACTAAGATGTTCACAGAATATTCCTGATAATTATGGATAGTGGAAATGTTTGACAATGAGAGAATGGAGAAGTAAATGATAGCAGTCAGTTCAATAGAGCATGAAGAAGCCATTAAGTTATCAAGATTTTTTTAGCCTCTTCCCTTGTCTTCTAACAAGGTCTTTTTTTTTGTTTTTTTGTTTGTTTTTTTTTGAGACAGTCTCACTCCCATCATCCAGGCTGGAGTGCAGTGGCACAATCTTGGCTCACTGCAACCTCTGTCTTCCTGTTCAAGTCATTCTCATGCCTCAGCTGGGATTACAGGCATGTGCCACCATGCCCAGCTAATTTTTTTTTTTTTTTTTAGTATAGACGGGGTTTCACCATTTGGCTAGGCTTTCACCATTTGGCCAGGCTGGTGTTGAACCCCTGACCTAAGGTGATCCACCCACCTCGGCCTCAAAAGTGCTGGGATTATAGGCATGAGCCGCCTTGCCCGGCCGACTTAAAAAAATCTCAATAGAAGGCCTGGCGCAGTGGCTCATGCCTGTAATCCCAGCACTTTGGGAGACTGAGGTGGACAGATCACCTGAGGTCAGGAGTTCGAGACCAGCCTGATCAACATGGTGAAACCCCGTCTCTATTAAAAACACAAAAATTAGCCGGGCGTGGTGGTGGGCACCTGTAATCCCAGCTACTCAGGAGGCTGAGGTGGGAGAATCACTTGAACCCAGGAGGTGGAGGTTGCAGTGAGCCAAGATCACACCACTGCACTCCAGCCTGGGCAATAGAATGAGAGTTCATCTCAAAAAAAAAAAAAAAAAAAAAAGATTTTTAAAGTTGCACTTTCAGCATGATCTCTCACCTACGCAAAAACGCATTGAAAATGCCCTTCAGTAAGCGGATGGGTAGGTAAGTTCTGAGGTATTCACAAAACAGAATCCCACACCACCTGCAACAACATGGAAGAATCTTACAAACATTGAGCTGCAGGGAAAAGAAGTCAGACACAAAAGATTCCATTTCCCTAAAATTCAAAACAGCCAAAACTAAATCTGTGCTGTTAGTAGTCAGGATAGCAGTTCCCTTGGGGAGACCAGAACGGGGTACAAGGGAACCTTCTGGGGTGCGGAAAACGTTCTGTGTCTTCATCTAGGAGATCAAGACCCTCGTCCTGAGACCTCCTAACCCCATACCAGGACACTTGAGTATGTGTCTACTTTCTTTGCCCCCAATGTCTAGGTTACCTATAGGTAGTCCTGCCTCTCCAACACATATGGGGACACCCACAGAGAGTCTTTAGCTTCACAGTTGGTGCCTTGACCTACCCATCTGCATCCTAAACCCATACAAGGATGTATAAATATAGAAAAATGTATTGAGTTGTAATTGTACTTTATGTAGGTTAATGTCAGTTTTTTTTAAGTGTTTTAAAAGGCAGTGTAAAAGAGCTGGAAGTTAGTATGTACACAGATGGCCATGGCATTCAGCTGGGGCTGGTACAGGGTCTGTGGGACTGGTTAGGGGTGGGGCAGGCGGCTCAGTTCTGACTTGGGTTGGAAGAGTGGAATCTGGGCAGGCTTCCCCTAAGGAAGTGGCTCTTAGATGAAAGCAGAATGAATGGGGGGAAAAGCATCTCAGACAGGCTTGTTCAAAGGCTCATAGGCAGGCCAGTGGAGGAGTCATCCAGGCTGAGAGCACTGGTCAGGGTCGGAACATGGTTGTGGTGGGAGAGGAGATGGATAGGACAGAGACAGGGACACCCAACTGCAGATGAAGTTGTCTGATTCCAGGAATGATCCCAGCATGGCTGACCAAGGGTGGTCTGTGCTGTCGATGATCTCAAAGCGGGGTCGGGTAGCCATGCCAGCTTGGGGCACAAGGGAGAAGATATGATGTACCACAGTCTAGATGATGTGGTTGAGGTCCCAAGTCACTGTACGTGAGAATATTGATGGGTAAACCAAGGCACAAGCTGGAGAGCTCAAGACTCTGTGGATGTGGGTGTGTGTGTGTGTGTGTGTGTGTGTGTGTGTGTGTAGGAGAGAAGGTAAAATACATAGGTAGGTAGACACAGTGTCCTGGGATAGAGTGAGGGGATATCAGGACAAGGTCATGAGTTGAGGCTTGGAACCTAGGGCAGCTTAGGGGTTCTTAGCTGATCTGGTTTCCCCTTGGGTTTTGTTTCGTTTTGTTTTGTGAGTGCGTGTGTTTAGAAATGGAGCCTTGAGGCCGGGTGCGGTGGCTCACACGTGTAATCCCAGCACTTTGGGAGGCTGAGGTGGGCAGATCACCTGAGGTCAGGAGTTCGAGACCAGCATACCCAACATGGCAAAACCCTGTCTCTACTAAAAATACAAAAAATTAACCGGGCATGGTGGCAGGTGCCTGTAATCCCAGCTGCTCGGGAGCCCGAGACAGAAGAATTGCTTGAACCCAGGAGGCGGAGGTTGCAGTGAGCTGAGATCACACCACTGCACTCCTGCCTGGGCGATAAGAGTGAAGCTCTGTCAAAAAAAAAAAAAAAGAAAAGAAAAGAAAGAAAAAGGGAGGAAAGGAAGAAATGGGGTCTTGCTACGTTGCCCAGGCTGGCCTTGAGCTCCTGGGCTCAAGCAATCCTCCCCCTACAGCCTCCCGAGTAGCTGGGACTAGAGTGAGTTTTTTGCTTTTAAATAAGATCAGATTGGAAAGGATTCTTGGTGATTCTTTTCCTTACTTTATGATTTGTTTTGTAATGGCCTTTTCTTGCCCCCCACCCTCACCTCATTTTACAAAGGGCAACACTGAGACCCAGAGAAGGGAAGAGAGTCATAAGGGAAGGGAATGTGGCTAAATCTCCATGGACCAAGCATGCAAGGGTTTGAGGGTGTCTGCAGCTTAGTCTGTGCCCGAGGCTGGGCTGTCAGGACCAGGACCTCATAAGACATCTGCCCCCTGCCACCGGCCACCCGGGAGGCCCTTGAACCAGTTATTTTGGGAGTGCCATCTGAATAAGATACAGAAATGTGCCATTGTGTTTACGAAGATCAGCAGTAGTTCCTTCTGAATCTTTTCGGGGTATTTTGGCTGGGTTTTTCTTAATTATCCAGATTAGCATTAGGTAAATTCCCACATGTAAAGACGTCTCATCTTCTGAAAACAGTTGTCAATGTGGAAGTGGACTTGTGGCTGGCTTGCCCCCTAGACAATGAATAGGCAGAGGACACTGAGACCCGGCCAGCCCCATCCAGCCCCATCCAGCCCCACCCTTCAGCCTATGAAGTCATTTCTCACGGCATAAACAACACGGACTCTGCAAATGCAACTCTCTCCTTAGTGTTCAAGTACAGCATTTGTTTCCATGATGAATCGGGACCCCAGTGATTATTTCTCTCCCCACAATGTGGCTGGTTCCGGATGCTTTTGGGCCACTGCGTGGGACCTCCAAAGGAAGGCAGGAGAAAGGGATGTGCCTGAATCAAGCCATGAGTCTGGGCGCCACTGGCCCATCCACCATCCGGGGAGGCTTTCCACGTGCAGGATGCGCCACCGAGGGCACGGCCGCCTCTCCCACCCGAGGCCTTCACTCTGCCCTGTCTTCCCCCGGTACCCCTTTCTCCCGTCTCTGCCCAGCCAAATCCTGTCATGGTCAGCGGCCGGCTGCAGCGCCACCTCAGTGAAGCCTTGGGGGAGACCATGCCGTCCCAGCGAGGGGTACAGTAAGGATGCCACAGTCACCCCACCCTCGGGGCCACCTCATCCCGGCACTGGCACTGGCACTGTCCTCTGTGGCTCCCAGCACTTCACACATTTGTATGCTTTGCTTCAGAACAACAAACACTAAAGTTGCAGAACTTTATTTAAAAATGAAAATAAAACTGCCTGATTTATAAAGACACGTATATAGATGTTTGGGAATGTATGTGTGTATACATATGTAGAGAGAGAGCATATAAATAAATTTATATATATATATATATATATATATATATATATTTTTTTTTTTTTTTTTTTTTTTTGAGACAGAGTCTTTCTCTGTCACCCAGGCTGGAGTACAGTGGCACGCTCTCGGCTCACTGCAACCTCTGTCTCCTTGGTTCAAGCGATTCTCATGCCTCAGCCTCTTGAGTAGCTAGGATTACAGGTGTTGGCCACCACGTCTGGCTAATTTTTTGTATTTTTAGTAGAGGCGGGGTTTCACCATGTTGCCCAGGCTGGTCTCGAACTCCTGACCTCAAGTGATCTGCTTGCCTCAGCCTCCCAAAGTGCTGGGATTACAGGCGTGAGCCACCACACCTGTCCTATATTTATATATTCTATATTACCTAATATAAATATATAAATGTTGATATATTCTATATTACATAATATAAATTTATAAATGTTTATATAAAGAAATATGTCTTTGCATATTCATAGAAAGAAATCTGGAAGAATACACACCAAACTGCTCCTCTTGCTTATCTCTGGCAAGTTGATTTTGCTTTCATATGAAGCAGTGTTTGAATTTGTTACAGGAATGTATTAAGTTTTTAAGCTCTTAGCCAATATTTCTGAAGATGAAAAGTGTCCTGGATATGCATCTGTCTTCTCTCTTGCTGGACAGTGGGAACCTGCCTCTGTCCTCTAGGCTGGGTCACAGAGCAAAGTGGGCAGATGTTTGTGAGATGAATTACAGAGAGTGCAAGGATGAGCCCCAGCTGCCTCCAGTGAGGCCCGGGAGTGATGGCTTCTCACTGCTGCCCTGCAGTGCCTGGACCGGCACTTAGGGAGTGCTCCCTAAAGGTTTACTGAATGAAGAAGGAAGGAAGGAGGGAGGCAGAGAAGGAGGGCAGGGAGAGAAGGAAGGGAGGAAGGAAGGGAGGGAGGAAAGGAGGGAGAGAAGGAAAGGATAAAGGGAGGCAGGGAAGGGGGGAGGGAGGGAGAAAGAGAAGAAGGGAGGGAAGAAGGGGTATGAGTGATCATAAACCCTGAATTTGTGTATCTGAATTAATGACTGTTTAATGTATAAATGTGGGAATCTAATGAAACACTGAAATACAGGGTACCATCTGGATGGATGGTGGAAATATTTTATTACTAGGCGTACAATTGTTTTCATTATAAAGTAACAGAACTGTATCCCAAAAGTATGAAAAATAGGCTGGGCAAGGTGGCTCATGGCCATAATCCCAGCACTTTGGGAGGCCGAGGCAGGTGGATGACCTAAGGTCAAGAATTCAAGACCAGCCTGGCCAACATGGTGAAACCCCGTTTCTACTAAAAATATGAAAAAAATTAGCCGGGCGTGGTGGCGGGCGCCTGTAGTCTCAGCCACTCAGGTGGCTGAGGCAGGAGAATCGCTTGAACCTGGGAGGCAGAGGTTGCAGTGAGCTGAGATGGCGCCATTGCACCCCAGCCTGGGCGACAGAGTGAGACACTGTCTCAAATTAAAAAAAAAGAAAAGAAAAGAAAACTTAATCATTACGTCACCCTAACAAATCCCCTATTTGTATTTTTGTGCATTTCCTTCCGAGTAGGTGAGTGTGAGCACATATATCTTCTCTACGTGTTCGTGGGGGCTGCTCACACCATTTTATATCATACTTCTGTTGTAAGTTCCTGTCATATCCTAAGCCTTTCTTCGTCCCGTTATAAAGTCCTCAACCTCTTATTTTATAAGTGCTGTCAACTACATTAAGAGGACATATATAACTTATTTAACCACTTATCTCTTTTTATATTGAGGTAACCTCTCATTTTTTATTATTATAGCGTTTATGATTTTTTAAACTACTAGCTTTTGCCTAATGCCTTCATAATTTTCCCTGGGTACCACTCAGAGATGCTTGGACACCTCAGGTTAGTGTCCCCAGAAGCAGCCTGAAAGTAGCTGGGCCACAAACTTTGTTACCATGAGTTAAGCAGCTTTTGCCCCAGAGAGTAAATCAGTGACCTGCTTCCTTTATTGAGAAAGTCTTGCTGTGGAAAAAGTCAGCAGGACTAAATAGCCCGCTGAGTGACAGTAACGTACATTCCAGTGCGAGCTTCTTATTCCCCTTCATGGACATCTAACCAAGCGTTTGCAGAGCAGCACAGGTCTGCAGGTGACATTTTGAGCAGCACTTGTCTACAGAGCTTCAGTAGGCACAATTGGCTTACTGTAGAAGGTTTACACCTGGGTGGATTCATGGTTGGAGTTTGGAAGAGAATAAAGTCCCTGCCATGAGCCTGGCGCCGTGCCATGGCCTTCCCATGTAACAGTGCTCAAAGGGTGCCCCTCCCACCACTGGGGCCTGCTGTTCTCGAGTCCTTGAGCATTTGCCTCATGTCCTTCCCACGTGCTCCAGCTCCTGTCCGGGCTGCAGATCTCCCGTGCATTGCCATGTGTGAGCACGCACAGCCAGGGCTGCCCCTAGAAACAAGGAGAACCAGAGCCACTCAATTAGAGGGGCCACCACAATAACTGTACTGTTGGCATCTTTCATAGGCTCCTTAGGGTATTGCTAAAAAGAGTAATTTTACAATTGAATTTCAATTATTCTCAGAAAACAGGAATAAGACCCCCACATGAAAGAAGGATTGTAAGGATTTTTAAGCTGAAAGGTAATATGCTCAGGTCTGCATTTTAGAAGGAGCAAACTAACTACTCTATGGAGAATAGATCAGAGAGTTTGAGACCAGAGGTGAGGACTCCAGTGGGGACGTCAGGACTGGAGGTCCCAGGAAGGTCAGTGGTGGCAGTAGTAGGTGTGAATTTTAGTCCCAATTCTTCCACCTCCCTGCATCCACACTCTGGCTATATGAGACTTTGGGCTTGGTCTTGTGACTTACTTTGATCAATGGAATGGGGCAGATGAGTCTTGATACCAGGTCTGAGAGCTGATGGTAAGAGACCTTACATATTTCTACTTTTCCTCTCATGCATCTGCCATCACCATGAGAAGAACCTGTCCAGCTTGGCCGTGGACCCTAGGAGGATGAGGGACACGTACAGCAGAGATGCCCACCAGCTTGCCAACCCCTGAGTGAGCCCAGCCAAGGTCAGTAGAGCTGCAGGCCCTGAGAAGGAACGCCTGTTGTTGCAGACCACTGAGATTCTGGGGCTGTTTGTTACGCAGTATTGCTGCAGCAATGGGCAACTGATACAGTGGGCGTGGAAAGAAATTAACAAAGCCAAGAAATACTTAAGTAAGCAAATGGAGTTAGCGGCCAGTCGAGTGAGTGGGCAAGACGGAGAGAGCCTCAGAGAACTTGGTTTGGCTCAGGTACCTGGATGGTTGAAGGGCACAGTGCCTGTGGTAAAGGACACAGAGGAGGAGACGTGGCCACCCACAGTAGACCTACATTAAGAGCACTCTCTCCTTCCCCCTACACTTTTTTCTTGTTTCTGGAGGAGGCCAGGGCCTGTGTCTGAAGAGATAAGCTCCACAGGGACAGAACCACAGTGTGGGATTATAGGCACCCCTGCCACAGTCAGCCACCCCCACGGCCTCCGGCTCTGTCAGAGCTTCTCCCCCAGTACAGACTCATTAGAACAACCGCTGATGTGGACAAGGGGGTGACCCAGACTTCCCGGCCATAGGGGCCAACTCAAGAAAGGCCCCCAGATTTCCCAGGGCCTCCTGCAGAAAACACAGCCTGCATCTCGTTACTTTCATTTGCTTAAAATACCTGCCTTTGCAGCAGTGAAACCACCCAAAATACTCACTTCTTTATTTCCAGCTAGATAAGTTGAACTCAATTTGCATTGGATAATTATTTTCAATTAAGTGATAACAATCCTGTTTGGTGCAAAAGTAATCTTGTCCAAAGGCCAAACAGTTTATCCCATCCAAGAAACAGGAGGCAGTGATAGGAGGAGGCCTATTAGCATGCTTGCCATGAGGATGGAGGGGCCAATCCCCACCCCTGGAGGGATGCCTCAGCCAAGTCGTTCGTGGGGGACCTCTGACGCTGTGGGCCGGGTGGGACCATTGACCTGGTTTGCCCTTTGACAGCCCCCGGGCCAAGCAGCCACTCTTTCTTCTTTCTGGACAAAGAAGGAGGCACCTCCTGCCAGCTGCAAGGAAGTGGAAAAGGCAGCTGGTCAGAGAAGGGCCCAAGACAGAGGCCAGGACCCAAGTTCTGGGCCAGCCGTGTGTCCCTGGACAAGTCATCCCCCACTGGGCCTCAGTGTCCCCTCTGTGTGGGGAGCAGTGGGGTTAGATGGGGACAGTTCCAGCTCAGATGTGATTCTGTCCTGGTTATCCAGAGCTACCTAGGTCTGAAGCCAGGTTTTCTGTAGGGAAAAGCCCCACTTCCTGTGTGATGTGTGTGTTGTCGGGGCAGGGATGCTCCTCCACCAGGAAAGAGGGAGCAGGCGCTGAGTTCTGGAGCCTCACAGGGGCCCCGCCACTCTCCTGGTCTTATGGCAGTGTCACATTCTCTGCAGGCAGCTGGAGTTCCTTACTTTCCTCCACAGCCTTCCCTACTGTTGCACATCTGGGCAAACCCCCTCCCCACCAATCGAGCCGCCGTGAACATCTTGTTCAAGGCTGCTGGTGTATTCAAGAGCAGACCCTGTCTCAAAAACACAAAAAAGAAAAATGAAAAACAACCTGCCTGCCAATCTTTCTATTGTTATTTACATTGAAAAACATGAGGATCGAGGTGGTCCAAACAAATAACTCTTGTGAATTTTTGCAGCCAATACTTCAAATATTTGATACTTGAGTACCCCATGCTGTGTGCTCTCTGTGTATTCACTGACATGCAGTCCTCCCACAGCAGGAGAACTAAAACTCTTGTCACTTATAGACAAGAAAACCGAGGCTCAGAGAGGCTAAGTAATTTGCTGAAGTCACACAGTGGAATTCTGACTTTTTGTTGGTTTCAATTGACTTCCACACTGCATTTTTTCCTTCTTTCCTTCCTTCCTTCCTTCCTTCCTTCCTTCCTTCCTTCCTTCCTTCCTTCCTTCCTTCCCTCCTTCCTTCCTTCCTCCTTCCCTCCCTTCCTTCCTTCCTTTTTTTTGAGACAGGGTCCCACTACATTGTCCAGGCTGGTCGACCTCCTGGACTCAAGCGATCCTCACCTGGGCCTCCCATGGTGCTGGGATAACAGGTGTGAGCCACCATGCCCTGCTGTTCCGCATTCTTTTCTCTACTTAATGGTGGCAGCGGCCCTTATGCTTCTCTGGCACACAGTGTACCCTCAGCCAAGCCGAACTGAGAAGCTGGACAGGAGGAGGGAAAGAAGAAACCATCTGAGCTGCCGTATCTCTTAAGTACAGTTTTCTGTATTCAAATTAGGCGACACAATCTCCATGAATAACATTACAGTTCCCAAAGGATCACACCCAATTTAAATGTATAAGAGGCCATTAACGGGTGGGGCTAGCTATTAGAATTTAGCTCCAGTGTTATTGTGGTGTGGTTCTGCTATTAGGCAGGCGCAATGGGGATAACAGAAGCCCAAGGCACACTCGCCCCTGGTCTCCAAGGCTCTGGGTCCTCAGACTGGCTGAGTACTGGGGACCAAGGTCACCCAAGAAGCCCTGAGTGGCCCTCTTGAGGGTTAGCAGAGCTTCTCTCTGTCCAAGACAGGTCAGGCTCTCTCCCCTGGCCCCAGCTCCACCGTCACTCAGAGGAGTGGCCTAAACAAACGCTGCAGGTGAGGCTCCCGAGCCCCTGACATGGATGTTTATGGAAGAGGACTCTTGGCATCAGCACCTGGGCAAGGTGGGTAGAGGCAGGAGTGGGCAAATGGGAAAGTCTAGCTGCCATGCGGGCTGAGCAACAATGGGGCCAACCTCAGGGGACACCTGGAAGCCCGAATGTCCTTTCAAAAGTTCTGAATGTGGGCTGGGTGTGGTGGCTGATGCCTGTAGTAATCCCAATACTTTGGGAGGCCAAGGCAGGCGGATCACTTGAGGTCAGGAGTTCGAGACCAGCCTGGCCAACATGGTGAAACTCCGCCTCTACCAAAAAATACAAAAATTAGCCTGGCATGGTGGTGTGCACCTGTAATCCCAGCTACTCGGGAGGCTGAGATGGAAGAATCACTTGAACCCGGGAGGCAGAGGTTGTAGTGAGCCAAGATTGCACCACTGCACTCCAGCCTAGGCGACAGGGCAAGGCCTTGTCTCAAAAAAAAAAAAAAGTTCTGAACGTGGAGTTTCATGCAGAGACGGCCAGGCCTTTGTACCCCCATGCAGATCAGTGGCTGGATGTGGGCTGCCCTGGGAAGGGTGTGACCTCAGGCTGGGTGATCTCAGCAGCTGAGGCTGTCCTACAGGGCTGGTCACTTAAGGCCGTATGCTGACCGCCTGCCCAGCTGCTGGGCAGCACGTCCTTCTTGGAAGGGGATCTGGGCAGGTGGCAATGACTGATGCCCACCAGGGCTGTGGCCTTGTCAGTCTGTGGGATAACACAGACCCTGCCTCAGTGGCTCCAGGGGAAAAAGAGACCATCTACGTGAATTGTTTAGCTCAGGGCACAGCACACAAATAAGAGCTCAAAAAATGTCAACCACTCTTGTTATCCCCATCCTGACCCAAATCACAGGATGACCCTCTGCTCTTCTCCCTCATCCTCGCGTACCTCCCCAGCGTCCAGCAAGTGTCCAAGCCTCACTTCCACACCTCCACTAATGGACAGGTCACTACTTCCCAAGGCAGCCCAAGTCACTGTTGAACAGCTTTTTTTTTTCCTGTGGTAAAATATACATAACCTACATTTTACCACTTTAATCATTTTTAAGTGTACAGTTCAGTGGCGTTAGGCACATTCACATTGTTGTACAACTATCAGCACCATCCATTTCCAGAACTTTTTTCCCAAACTGATACTCTTTACCCATTAAACAATATTCCCTCATTCCTCCTCTCCCCTGAACGCCTGGCAACCACCACCCCCATTTCTGTCTCTATGAATTGGACTGGACTGCTGTAAGCATCTCATGTGAGTGGAATCACACAGTATTTTTTTTTCCTTGTGTCTGGCTTATTTCACTTAACATAATGTCCTCAAGGTTCATCCCTGTGACAGCATATGTCCGGATTCCCATTTTTCTTTAAGGCTGAATAATAGTCCATTGCTTGTACACACCACATTTTGCTTATCCATTTATCTGGCCGTGGATGGATAGTTGGGTGGCTTCCACCTTGTGGCTATTGTGAGTGATGCTGCTGTGAACACTGGTGTACAAGCGCCTATGTAAGACCCGCTTTAGCAGGGCATGTGGCTCACGCCTGTAATCCCATCACTCTGGGAGGCTGAGGCGGGCGGATCACTTGAGGTCAGGAGTTTGAGACCAGCCTGGCCAACATGGTGAAACCCCATCTCTACTAAAAATACAAAAATTAGCTGGGCATGGTGGCGGGCGCCTGTAATCCCAGCTACTCAGAAGGCTGAGGCAGGAAAATTGCTTGAATCCAGGAGGCGGAGGCTGCAGTGAGCCAAGATCATGCCACTGCATGCCAGCCTGGGCAACAGAGTGAGACTCTGTATTAGAAAAAAAAAAAAACCTGCTTTTTTTTTTTGTTTTTGTTTTTGTTTTTGTTTTTTGGGGTTTTTTTTGATAGGGTCTCGCTCTATCACCCAGGTTGGAGAAGGTGCGATCATAGCTCACTGCACCCTCAATCTCCCGGGCTCAAGCAATCTTCCCACCTCAGCTTCCTGAATAGCTGGGACTATAGGTGGGCACCACCACACCCAGCTAATCTTTTTATTTCTTGTAGAGACAGGGTCTTGCTGTGTTGCCCAGGCTTGTCTCGAACTCCTGGCTTTAAGTGATCCCCCCACCTCAGCCTCCCAAAAATGCTGGGATTACAGTGATGAGCCACGCCGGCCACTGCTTTCAATTATTTTGGGTATGCAGAGGCGGAGCTACTGGACCATATGGCAGTTCTACATTTAATTTTTTGAGGAACTGCCATCTGGTTTCCCACAGTGGCTGCACCATGTTTCTCGAGCAGCTCTGAGAGAAAACGTTCTCTTTCATCACGCTGCATTCCCATGACGTCCTCACTGGCCCTTGGCTTTGCCCTGGGGACAGCCCTGCTGAGTCTTTTTTTTCTTTTTCTTTTTCTTTTTTTTTTTTTGAGACAAGGTCTAGTTCTGTTGCCCAGGCTAGAGTGCAGTGGTGCGATCATAGCTCACAGCAGCCTCGAACGCCTGGGCTCAAGCAATCCTCCCACCTCAGCCTCCTGAGTAATTGAGACCACAGTTGAGTGCCACCACACCCAGCTATGGTTTTTTTCGTAGAGACGGGGTCTCACTATGTTGTCCATGCTGATCTTGAATTCCTGCACTCAGGCAATCTGCCCACCTTGGCCTCCCAAAATGCTGGGATTACAGGTGTGAGCCCCCGTGCCCGGCCTCTGTTGAGTCTTGATGCCAACTCAGGAGCCCCGCTGAGCCCTCTGCTCTGGGCACGTCACCCATTCCAGTGCCCAGGGCCCTGACTGCCCACTTCACAGAAGTGCAGTGGCATTTTCTCTTGAGGAACCCCACCAGGGGGAGAGGGAATGGGGTCTCAGAGTCAGGAGCAAGCTCACCTGGCACTTGGAAGGAAACCCAGGACCTCCTGCCCACACTCCTCTTCAGCGAGGCCCTCCTGCCCACACTCCTCTCCAGCCGGGCCCTCAACTTCCCCCAGCCTTCCTGCCCCTCTCCTCTCCTCAGGGCATCACCCTACCAACAGGCGAAAGTAATCTGTGACCAGGAGTACTCTCCTAGGAAACTCTGAAGGCACTTGACACGCTTGAAGAGGTGACACAGATTTAAAGTTGTTGCTTTGCTCAGTCAGTTTACCGGATCAGACCAAAAGTTGCTTTGATATTCAAAAATCTTTAAAAGTATCTAACTTCAATTCTTTTTTTTGTTTGTTTGTTTTTGAGACACAGTCTCACTCTGCTGCCCAGGAGTGCAGTGGCAGGATCTCAGCTCACTGCAGCCTCCACCTTTCTCCTGCCTCAGCCTCCAGAGTAGCTGGGATTTCAGGTGCACACCACCACACCCAGCTAATTTTTGTATTTTTAGTAGAGACAGGGTTTCACTGTGTTGGCCAGGCTGGTCTTGAACTCCTGACCTCAATGATCCTCCTGCCTCAGCTTCCCAAAGTGCTGGGATTACAGGTGTGAGTCACCGCGCCCCGCCCTCACCTCAGTTCTTGAAGGGATTAACACTGCATCTCTTCACCATTTCTGAAGGTTCCTGATTTTACTGTCCTGAGACATTTCTACCTTTATTAAATCCTCCCCATGGGATGGTGGTGGTGGGAGAAGGGACATCACCACCAACAACAAAGAAAATAAGACAGCCAGATGCGGTGGCTCATGCCTCTAATCCCAGCACTTTGGGAGGCCGAGGCGGGTGGATCATGAGGTCAGGAGTTCGAGACCAGCCTGGCCAACATGGTGAAACTCCATCTCTACTAAAAATACAAAAATTAGCCAGGCATGGTGACGCATGCCTGTAGTCCCAGCTGCTTGGGAGGCTGAGGCAGGAGAATCGCTTGAACCCTGGAGGCAGAGGTTGCAGTGAGCCGAGATCAGGCCATTGCACTCCAGCCTGGGGGACAGAGTGAAACTGCGACTCAAAAAAAAGAAAGAAAATAAGACAAAATCACACTTTAGTGGAAAACAAGTGGTGACCACTCTGCACAGCTCTTCAACTCCTCAACGCCTCCTAAGGCAGCTGTGCCAGGTGCTGAGTCCACATATTTTCACCCCGTGCTTCTCACACTGGGACAGTGTACTTCCAGCAGCACCGGCAGCCACACAAAACCCACTCACGGGCTCTGCCCACAGCAGGCTGGGAGGCACCAGCTCTCCTGGCTGAGTGCAGGCTGGGCCCTGGGAGCAAGTGCCTCCTGAAACTTCTCACCCTGATGGCAGCATGCCTCACCCTAGTCCCAGCCCAGAGCCTCAACCTTGCTGGAAAGGCTTAGCATCCGCTAGGAGGAATATTAGACCCAACTCAGGAGAAGTAAGTTCTAGTTCTGGCTTTGCCACCAAATGTGGACTCTCATCCTCACTCTCCCCATTCAGAAACTCACAGGTTAGAAGTGATTATTTCCAAGGGCGGGTGCGGAGGCTCACACTTGTAATCCCAGCACTTTGGGAGGCTGAGGTGGGCGAATCACTTGAGGTCAGGAGTTCGAGACCATCCTGGCCAACACGGCAAAACCCCATCTCTACTAAAAATACAAAAAGTAGCCAGGCATGGTAGCAGGCACCTGCAGTCCCAGCTACTCAGGAGGCTGAGACTTAGCCTCACTTAAGCCCTCACTTAAGACTTAGAGAATCACTTAAGCCCAGGAAATCGAAGCTGTGATGAGCCATGATCACGCTGCTGCACTCCAACCTGGGCGACAGAGTGAGACCCTGTCTCAAAAAAAAAACAAAAAACAAAAAACAAAAAAAAAACCTCAAACCAAAAAACAGACAAAAAAAAGAATATCACAGGAAATTTGGAGAAGAGAAAAAGGAAAAACATAATTACCCCATTCATCCCTTAATACCATCCCTGAGCTATTCGGTGTGTTTCCCTCCAGAATTTTCCCTGGTATGAGGGGCACGGGCTACTGCTGCGCATCTCCCCTCCGTGGCGCATGGTGGAGGTCATGCTGCTCATGGACACGTCTGCCCTGCTGTCTCCACGTGCTTCCCTCTCCAGGCTCAATAGTACCTCCATATCCAGCAGCTATTGCTATGTAACGATCTAACACTCAACATTCAACGGGTTAAAATAACAAGATTTGGCCGGGTGCGGTGGTTCACGCCTGTAATCCCAGCACTTTGGGAGGCCGAGGCGGGCAGATCACTTGAGGTCAGGAGTTCGAGTCCAGCCTGGACAACATGGTGAAACCCTGTCTCTATTAAAAATACAAAAAAATTAGCCGGGCATGGTGGCACATGCCTGTAATCCCAGCTACTCAGGAGGCTGAGGCAGGAGAATCGCTTGAACCTGGGAGGCAGAGGTTGCAGTGAGCTGAGTTTGAGCCACTGCACTCCAGCCTGGGCAACAGAGCAGTCTCCATCTCAAAAAATTAATTAATTAATTAAAAATTAAAAAAATACAAGATTTATTATTGCCCAAGAGTCTATGGTCAGGGGAACAGTTCTACTGATCTGGGCCTGGCTCAGCTAGTCTTGTTTATGCATCTGTGATCAGTTGCTGGGTCCCCTGGTTGGTCTAAGCTGGCACTGTTCACATGTCTTGGCTGACTGGTCATGGCCTGGGCAACTGGGGTGACCAGGCCACACAGTGTCTCACCCTCCATCACATTCTACTGGTCAAAGCAAGTCGCAAGACCGGCCCAGAGTCAGAGTGGGAGGGACTACAAATTTCAGGGTCAAGGGCATGCATACATGGAAGCCAGTAATCGTAGTGTCAATCACTGCTCTTAATCTACCGTAATCCCTAATTTTCATACCTGCCATTTTTGGTAGCAATACTGTTTTTCATAGATGTACATTTCATAGATTACCATTAAATAAGATGTACCACATTTTAATTTGTTTAAAATTTTTCTCTTATAACACTTGTGTGAACAACTTTGGTGGAACCTTCGCCTTTGAGATCAGGAAAAGCAGCGTTTCCCACTCTCAATCAGAAACCCAAGGTTAAGTGAGAAAATTGAGCCCAAGTGTCCCGAAGGCCCTTTAGAAGCAGCGCCACCTGCAGACCTTCCCGAGTTCCTCACCTGACCGAATTCAAAGGTGTCAGACCAGGAGTCTCAGACCAACTCTGAGTCCAGCTGTTGAAATCACTTTCAGTATCACTTTCCGTCTCTGGGCTTCAGTTTCTCCATCTATAAAACTGCAGGGTTGGACTAGAACAGTCTTTCTCAAATGATGTCACTCTGGTCTAAAAGCCAAAAAGATGCCAGTGACCACCTTCTTGAAAGTATTTTTATTGATTGATTGACTGATTGATTGAGACAGAGTCTTGCTCTGTCGCCCAGGATGGAGTGCAGTGGTGAGATCTCAGCTCACTGCAACCTCTGCCTCTCAGGTTCAAGTGATTCTCATGCCTCAGCCTCCCAAGTAACTGGGATTACAGGCATGTGCCACCACACCTGGCTAATTTTTTGTATTTTTAGTGGAGATGGGATTGCACTGTGTTAACCAGGCTGGTCTTGAATTCCTGACCTCAAATGATTCTCCCACCTTGGCCTCCCAAAGTGCTGGGATTACAGGTGAGAGCCCTCGTGCCTGGCCTATTTATTTTGAGACAGGGTCTCACTGTGTCACCCAGGCTGGAGTGCAGTGGTGCAATCATGGCTCACTGCAGCCTTGACCTCCCTGGGCTCAAGCAATCCTTCCACCTCAGCCTTCCAAGTAGCTGGGGCTATAGGCAAGCACTACTATACCTGGCTAATTTTTTTTTATTCTTTCTGTATTTGTAGAGATGGGGTTTCACCATGTTGCCCAGTCTTGAACTACTTGGCCCAAGCGATCCTTCTGCCTTGGCCTCCCAAACTGTTAGGATTATAGGCGTGAGCAACCACGCCTGGCCTGAAAGTATTTTTAAATGCATAAGAAAAAGACAAAGCAGTTCCATATCATTCTAACTGCTCGGCGGTGATCCACCTTTTAGAAATGGTGTGCTAGGAGCAGGGGTCACGGCGTGAGAGGCTGCCCGTCCGGCACCTACGAGGGCGATGTCAGACTCGGGAATCCAGGCACGGGCAGCACATGAGGCAGCTATCATAACAAGGCTGAGGATGATGGCTGGTCTCTGTTCGGTGTCTTGTCTTGTAATCCCAACATGTATTTGTGACCTCGCTCAATGTTCATTGTCTGTTAAATGCACTACACAAATTTAATTCCCATGGTCTGTGGCTGAGCAAAGGAGGTTTCAAAAGAAAATTTGTGCATTCTAGTTCATGAGCTCTTGCTGTTATTTTTAAAGAGCTCCATGGAACAAATGGGTGGACTCCAAGCACCCTTTGAGCTCTAACAGCCTAGAGAAGAGGTGGGAAGGGGGTGCCTCTTTTCTCTTCCCCAGCTGAGTTCAGAGGTCAACAGTCCTCACAGCTGGACATGGGCAGGGTTGCCCAGTAGCTTAGGGGTCACTGGTCATAATGGCATCCTGCATGGCAGAGACCCTGGGAGTAGCATTTTCGGCAATGTTTGGGTTACAGACCTCCTTCCGAGTCGCCTGGAGAGGTCTTTCCCGCCCTTTGTAGTGGATGTATGATTTTGTTTGCAAGCGTCCTTGGGAGAACCACTCCTCCCACAGCATGAGGCTGTTAATCCTGGTGGCTTCTTCCTCCAACCCAGGCCCTCTGAGGAGCACTCTGCCCCACCCCTCGGCACGTGATTGGTTCAGAGGCAGGCATGTGACTCAAGAAGCCAATAAGAATTCTTTTCTGGGATTGTTACTTTAGTCCCTGGGTGAAAGGAGGACTCCCCTGGATAGAGCTGTCTTGCTGGGACGTTCTCTATCTGTCTGCCCACCACCATCTTTCCTAACTCATAGAAGAAAGCGAAGCAGAGAGGCAAGAGATGGGGGGGGTGGGGAGAGGCGGGGGGAGAGAGAGAGAGAGAGAACTGACAAGGCTGCTTGAGCCCCTGCATCCAGCTATGCCTGCTTCCCCTCAGACTTCCACACTTCAGGAGCCAATGAATTCCTTGGTTGCCTAAGCTACAATGAGTTAGGTATCTCTCACTTGCAACCAAGAGTCCTTTAAGGCCCACTCAACAGGGCTGCCATATACAGTGACACCCCTTCGCTTACACAGTACTCAGTCTTTTCAGATGAATGAAGTAAATTGTTCAGTCATCATCTCCTCTCAGAAGCCTTCCTTGATTTCCCTATACAGAACCAGTCACTCCCTAATCTATGCTTCCAGGAATCTTGTAAAAATATACACTGTGGCCCAAGTCCCTCTGTGTATTTATGATAATATAAATTGAATATAAGAATATAAATTGAATATTCAATTTATATTCTTACACACATGCTTGTCTCCCCATCAGAGTGGGAGATCCTTGGGGTAGAGACTAAATCTGATTTATCACTGTTTCCCCCGTACCCAACCAAGAAAGTGCTTAGGTGTTTATTGAGTGAATTATAATCAAATCTCACTACAACAAACAATTGGGATGTCTCATCTAATTTGTTATTAAGAAAATTCTCACCTGAGTGGGTGGCTCACACCTGTAATCCCAACACTTTGGGAGGCCAGTGTGGGAGGATCACCTGAGCTCAGGAATTTGAGACCATACTGGCAACATAGGGAGACCCTGTCTCTACTAAAAATAAAATAAAAATTAAAAAATTAGTTGGTCATAGTGGCACACACCTGCGGCCCCAGCTACTCGAGAGGCTGAGGTGAGAAGACGCCTTGAGCCCAGGAGGTGGAAGTTGCAGTGAGCCGTGATCACACCACTGCACTCCAGCCTGGGCAACAGACAGAGACCCTGTCTCAAAAATAAAAAGAAAGAAAAGAAAAGAAAATTCTCAGCTGAGCACTGTGGCTTATGCCTGTAATCTCAATATTTTGGCAGGCCAGGGGCCTGAGGCTGCTTAAGTCTGCTGACTGGCCCCAGGTCACACACAGTGAGTCTGGGTCCCATAGGGACCGGACGTGCTGACCTCTGTGGAGCTTTGCGCCCAATCACCCAGAGGCAGCAGGAGGAGTTTCTTTTTTGTTTTATTTTGTTTGAGACAGGGTCTTGCTCTGTTGCTGAGTTCAGAGTGCAGTGGCACAATCATAGGTCACTGCAGCCTCAATCTCCTGAGCTCAGGAGATCCTCCCACCTCAGCCTTCCAAGTGGCTGGCACTACAGTTGTGTGCCACTATGCCTGACTAATTTTTTTTAATTAGAGATGGGGGTCTCACTACATTATTGCCCAGGCTGGTCTTGAACTCCTGGGCTCAAGAGATCCTCCCACTTTGGCCTCCCAAAGTGCTGGGGTTACACATGTTAGCCACCATGCCCACCTCAATCAAGATTTGTTTCTTTTCTTTTTTTATTGAGATAGGATCTCACTCTGTTGCCCAAGCTGGAGTGCAGTGTACAGTGGCATGATCTTGGCTCACTGCAGGCTCTACCTCCTGGGCTCAAGGGATCCTCCTACCTCAGCCTCCTGAGTAATTTGGACTACAGGTGTGCACCATCAGGCCTCGCTAAATTTTGTTTCTTTTGTTTTGTTTTGCAGAGACAGGGTCTCACTATGTTGCCCAGCTTGGTCTCAAACTTCTGGCCTCAAATGATCCTCCCACCTTGGCCCCCAAATCTGTGGGCTACAGATGTGAGCCACTGCACCCAGCCTCGAGGTTTGTTTCTTAAACTATCACCCTCCAGGGGCTGCTCTGTATTCATGCACCTTCATGCATTTGGCTCTGGGCTCTACCCACCTCCCCTCACCCCAGATTCTGCCAAGCTGGTGCTTAGGACAGTGGCCCTCCCACTTACGCTGAGGCCGAGATCTCTGACATGTTTGTGGGCCTCACTTCCCAGGTGCCTCCCAGCCCCACATGAGCTGTCTCGTAGGGCCAAGACAGCACTTTTGTATGGGGGTCTGTTTCAGAGGCACAGATGGCTCCAAACACGTCTTCTGCATCTGTAAAAGATAACAGGTGTACATTTAAAGAAAGGAATTCATACATATTTAATGATTTAGCTTAAGCAACTGGGCAAATATTCATTTTCTTAAGGTGGTAATACATAATTAACTGATAATAAAATTAATTGGGTAAAACAGTCTAAAAATAATGCAGTACTTATTACATGAGGGAATATAACTGCATTGAAAGAGGTTTAATTGTTCCAGAGACTGATGAGTCCCCAAAAGCAGCAAAGGGAAGAGGTTTTTCCACCTTTGGAATAAGGGCTCTGAGTGGGCGCTTCCTGTTCACCCTGTGGGAATAGGGTGGGAATGGAGGGTGGAGAGGAAGATGGTTTCTTGCAATTTAACAGCTTCACAACGGGTTTAGAGAGCATCCCAATGTCTACTCCCAACCCTAACCACACATCTTCACCCCTGCCAGGTCAAAAAATACAGAAAAGAAAGAATCTACCACAGATACCCTTTTATTAGATCAGAAGAGAGAAAGCTTGTAGACGCCTCGTGAACTCACCCCTTCCACTGCGAAGTGCCAGACCCTGGGCTGGACACCGTGGGAGAGGCCAGCTGGGCAAGTCTGTCCTTCGGGGAGGTCTGGGGTGTTTGGGGAAGGGAGATAGGGACACACAATCCTCACAACAACTGCAAAAAGAAGTGTGAGCACGTGGGGGCAGAGGGAGCGTCAGTCAGACGGGAGGTGATCGGGACTGGAGAGAGATGTCCCAGAGGAGGTGGCTTGGGCAGGTGGGCTTTGACTGGCGTCTATGGGAGAGGAGCCCGTAGGAAGAAGAGAGAGCAGGACAGCTGGGATTGAGTTGGGCTGAAGCCGGACCGGGGAGGGTGTGGCAAGAGATGAGGCTGAACCGGTGGGCTGGAGGAGGGGGTCCCAGGAAAAGCAGCTCTGGTCCCACCGTCAGCCCTGCCTTTTATTATTAATCTCTCTTGTGAATTCAGGTGGGAAAAGGCCTGCTGAGAGTAGTGCCAGAATTCACAGGAGAAAGATTCTGTAATTTCTTTGAGCTCTGTGACTCTGGACAAAGTATTCAGTATTAATGCAGTTGACCATGACGTCTTCTGTGTGCGCGACTGACAGACCAAATTACCTTTCCTTATCTCCTGGCGAGAAAAAAGGACCATTTTCTTGACATATTTCATAATCATTTCACCTGCTTGCCCCCTATGGAGAGCGCCGGTGACCCGGCCCCCTCCCCTCCCACACAATGCAGGAAGTATGTCATCTAATAAGCCCAGTTTCTAAAGAATGTTTTTAATCTTGGAATAGTGAGTGTGATTTTTGATTGTATTTTTAATTCTCTATCTACTTTTTTAAAAGCACACGCTTTTGTTCTAATTCTCATCTTAGCTCATCAGGGCCAGGAGGAAGCGTGGACATCTTCCATTCCATGGATCTGCTTAGCATTTGACAGGTGAGGCCCAAAGAGAAGGCATGGGCCAGGACCCCTTAGGGCAGCTGGGGGCACACCAGGAATTCTGGAGTCAGGGCTCTATGCCCTCCATGCCCAGTGGGCACCGTTCTCTAGGTGGTGCCCCAGCCCGGTAACTACAAAACCTCAGAGCATTTTTTTCTAATTGTGGTAAAATACACATAACAAAAAATCTACATCTTAACCTTCATTTTTTTTTTTTTTTTTTTGAGATGAAATTTTGCTCTTGTTGCCCAGGCTGGAGTGCAATGACACGATCTCGGTTCACTGCAACCTCTGCCTCCTGGGTTCAAGAGATTCTCCTGCCTCAGCCTCCCAAATAGCTGGGATTACAGGCACTCGCCACCGCTCACTGCTAATTTTTTGTATTTTTAGTAGAGACGGGATTTCACCATGTTGGCCAGGCTGGTCGCAAATTCCCGACCTCAGGTAATCCACCTGCCTTGGTCTCCCAAAGTGCTGGGATTACAGGCGTGAGCCACTGCACCTGGCCACATGGGAAATATTTATGATATTAAGTATAAAAAGCCGATTGTGGCTGGGCACGGTGGCTCACGCCTGTAATCCCGGCACTTTGGGAGGCCAAGGCAGGTGGATCACGAGGTCAGGAGTTCAAGACCAGCCTGGCCAACATGGTGAAACCCTGTCTCTACTAAAGATACAAAAAAATTAGCTGGGCATCGGGGTGCATGCCTGTAATCCCAGCTACTTGGGAGGCTGAGGCAGGAGAATCGCTTGATTCCGGGAGGTGGAAGTTGCAGTGAGCCAAAATCGTGCCACCGCACTCCAGCCTAGGTGACAGAGCTAGACTGTCTCCAAAAAAAAAAAAAGCAGATTGCGTAGCCAGGTGTGGTAGCACACACCTGTAATCCCAGCACTTTGAGAGGCCAAGGTGGGAGGATCACTTGAGGCCAGGAGTTCAAGACCAGCCTGGGCAACATAGCAAGACTTGATATCTACAAAATATTTAAAAATTAGCCAGGTATAATGGCACATGTCTATAGTCCCAGCTACTCTGGAGACTGAGGCAGGAGGATCACTTAGCCCAGAAGTCTTATGCTGCAGTGAGCCGTGATCGCACTACTGCACTCCAGCCTGGGTGACAGAATAAGACCTTGTCTCTAAAAAATAATAATAATAATTAATTAAATTTTGTAAAAAGCAGGTTGCAAGTTGGTATATATAGAGAATGGCTCCCACTTACATGAGTAAATATGTAAATGTCAGTGGGTATTTGCAAGGATATTTACCACAATTTGACCAATGGTTATTCCTGAGTAGTAGAATTATGGATGGCTTTTTCTATTTTCTTTTTTTAATGAAAAATGAATAAAATAAAAGTTGTCCTGCTAGGGCTACCATAACAAAATACCACAGACTGGACTGGGTGGCTTAAACAATAGAAATTTATTTTCTCACAGTTCTGGAGTCTGGAAGTCCAAGTTCAAGATGCTGGCAGGCTTAGTTCTTCTGAGGCCTCTCTCCTTGGCCTGCCGACAGCCACCTTCTTGCTATGTCTTCCCACGGCCTTTGCCCTGTGCACACGTGTCCCTGGTGTCTTTCTTCTTTTAAGGACATCAGTCATATTGCGTGAGGGTCCCACCCTTGTGACCTCATTTTACCTTAATTACCTCCTTAAAGACCTTGTTTCCATATACAGTCACATTGGGGTTTAGGGCTTCAACCTATGAATTTTGGGGAAACACAATTTAGTCTATAACAAAAGTTAGTTTGAAAAGAAAAAGAAAGTAGGCCGGGCATGGTGGCTCATGCCTGTAATCCCAGGAATTTGGGAGGCCAAGGCGGGCTGATCACTTGAGGTCAGGAGTTCAAGACCATCCTGGCCAACATAGTGAAACCCCATCTCTACTAAATAAATAAATAAATAAATAAATAAATAAATAAATAAATAAATAAATAAATTAGCCAGGCATGGTGGTGAGTACCTGTAGTCCCAGCTACTCAAGAGGCTGAGGCATGAGAATTGCTTGAACCAAGGGGGTGGAGGTTGCTGTGAGCTGAGATGGTACCACTGCACTCCAGCTTGGGCGACAGAGCAAGACTCTGTCTTAAAAAAAGTAAAGCTTGTTAAAGCAGTGCTCTTACAAAAGGACACACACAGTTCTTAGGATGAATTTTGTCAGTTTCACCCAACAGTTAATTTCTGTGCTATGCAACCTTTCCCAGAGCTTAGAAAAAAGTTAAAAATTTTCCAATTAATTTTACACACTTTGCATAACTCCAATACTAAGACTTGATTTTTAAAAGAGCACAAGATAAAGTGTATCTATCTAAAATCAAGAATCAACATCATACTAATGATAAAACACTAAACCCCGTCTAGAGGAGTTTGGATTAGAGTCAGAATGAAGACAAGGGTGTCAGTTAGGTATCAGCAATGCTAGCTGCTGTGAGGAACATAACTCCAAACCTCAATGGCTGAACACAATGGAAGTAAATTACTTGTTTACACAAAGAGCAGTGAGAATCCCTGGTTAGCCAGCTGCCTCCCATGTGGCCATTCAGGGACCTCCACTGCTTGTGCCATCCCCCAGAGCCACTGCCAGCTCCTCTGACGGCAAACAGGAAGAAAGACAGTAGAGGATCTTGTGGGAGGTTTTATGGGCCAACCGGGCAAGGCACCTGTATCACCTCCACCCACAGTCCAGTGGCTAGAACCTGGTCACGCGGCCACTCCTAACTGCAAGGGAGGCTGAGAAATGTTACCTCCTTCCGTGCCCAGCAGGAAAAAGAAACAGGTGACGTTGCAGCATTTCTTGCAGAATACCCCACTGTCGTCTCTGGGACTTTTGTTGACAAATCACTGATGTTTTCTGCACATCCTGATTTGCAGCAGGCAGTGACTACTACCTGAGCACCATCCCAGTTTCAGAGATTAAAAATGTGAAAAACTTGGAGTTGATGAAATACTCGATAGGAATAGTAGGTGAAGCTGTAGGAGATGCTGCGCTTGTAAAAGGCCCACGGATGAGCCAGGGCTTTCCGGGCATAACCCCAAGGCCAAAAACATAAGTGATAGACTAACTATATAAAAACAAAAAAATCCCTTATATCAAAAAAGAACATTGAAAGGAGAAGGGCCCACTGTGGGGGAAATATTTGCAATGTGTGATAGAGAATGAGCAGGCTTGCTATTTAAAGAGCCCTTACAAATCAAGAGTGAAAAAGGTGAAGAAAATGGACAAATAACAGTAACAGGAAATTAATAAAAGAAGAACTAAAAATGGTTAAATATGTTAACTATGTAAAACTATTTAGTAGTCAAAGAAGCACAAATTAAAACTACCATGTAATACCACGTTTTACCATCAGATTGGCAGAGATGTGAAAATTGATAATGGTGTTTGCAAAGACTGGCAAGTAAAGGCTATTAACCCTCTGGAAAGGGAAAGATGGGTGCCCTGTTTACCACTGTGGGTGATACGGTCTTGAAAACACTTATGCCTGTTGACCCAGCAGTCCCACCTCTGGAATTTATCCTAAGGAAACAAATGAAGAGATGTGAAAGACATATGTTCAAGGCTGCTAATCTCAGGGGAGCTTTTAAATTTAACTTTAATTTGTATCAAGTTATACATGCACATGATTTCAAAGGTCAAAAAATTCTACAAGATTTGTTACAAAAATCAGCAATTCCCTGAAGCCACTCCCCCAGTCATGGCCCTGCTCTGCTTTTTCAGTCCCAGAGATACTTTTTTTTTTTTTTTCTTTTTTGAGACAGGGTCTCACTCTGTCTCCCAGGCTGGAGTGCAGTGGCATGATCTCGGCTCACTGTAGCTTCGACCTCCAGGGTACAAGTGATTTTCCCTTCTCAGCCTCCTGAGTAGTGGGAACCACAGGCATGTGCCACCATGCCCAGCTAACTTTTATCATTTATCCTAGACAGGGGTCTCCCTGTGTTGCCCAAGCTGGTCTTGAACTCCTAGGCTCAAGCAGTCCTCCTGCCTTGGCCTCCCAAACTGTTGGGATTGCAAGCATGAGCCACCATACACAGCCTCAGAGATACTATTTCAATCCTTTAAGTATTTAGTGTATTTTCTCTAAATACCATGCTTATATTGCTACTTCTTGATTTTTCAGGTTTATACATTATATAGTGATTTTTCATTATGGAAGGGGAGAATTTGGCTCTCATCAATCACTCACTCACAATACCCCCCACCCTGGAACAAAACGCATATTAATACATGTATTCCCACCCCCCACAGCCTCCCAATATAGTTATTTGTCATTCTGATCAGATCAATATTCGTTATTTGCTTTATTCTGACTGCAAATCTGTTTTCAAGATTTTCAGAGTTAATAATTGTCTTGCTTTTTTTTTTTTTTTTTTTTGAGACAGAATCTCTCTCTGTCCCCCAGACGGGAGTTTAATGGCACAGTCTTGGCTCACTGAAGCCTCCACCTCCCAAGTTCAAGTGATTCTCCTATCTCAGCCTCCTGAGTAGCTGGGACTACAGGCACGCGCCACCAAGCCCAGCTAATTTTTGTACTTTCAGTAGAGATGGGGTTTTGCCATGTTGGCCACACTGGTCTCAAACTCCTGACCTCAGATGATCCACAGCCTCAGCCTCCCAGAGTGCTGGAATTACAGGTGCGAGCCACTCTACCCGGCCCAATTGTCTCGTTTTTACCATTGGCTTGGTTTACTAATTTTCGTCACTAATTTAACTACAAACTCTTTCTTTCAGAATTTTGAACATATTCCTCCATCATGTTCCGGTTCCCACTGACGCTGTTAAAGAATCCAGTGCCATTCGGATCCATGATCCTTTGTATGAAATCCACTTTTTCTCTGCAAACTTGTAGGATATTTTCTTCATGCCAGATACTTGTGTTCTTCAATTCTGGGTTTTTGAAAACAAAATATTTTTAAAATTACTTTCTTCTTTCTTTTTTTTTAGGACAGAGTCTCACTCCGTCGCCCAGGCTAGAGTGCAGTGGTGTGATCCCAGCTCATTGCAGCCTCAAACCCCTAGGCTCAAGTGATTCTCCCACCTCAGCCCCCCAGGTAGCTAGGACTACAGGTGTGTGCCACCAGTCCTGGCTAATTTTTTAATTTTTTTTTTGAAAACACTTATGCCTATTGACCCAGCAGGTGTGTGCCGCTATGCGTGGCTCATTTTTTATTTTATTTTATTTTATTTTATTTATTTTTGCAGAAGCCATTGATACCATCTAGCTAAGCTAGGTTGAAGATACTTTGGACTCGACAATTCTATATTAGGATACATGCCCTAGAACATCTCTCCCGTGCATGCACAAAAAGATATTGATGCCTGTAATCCCAGTGCTTTGGGAGGCCAAGGCAGAACGATCACTTGAGGTAAGAAGTTTGAGACCAGCCTGGGCAACATAACAAGACACTGTTTTTACAAAAAAAAATTAAAAATGAGCCAGGCATAGAGGCATGCACCTGTAGTCTTGGCACTCAGGAGGCTGAGGTGGAAGGATAACATGAGCCCAAGAGTTTGAAGTTACAGTAACTATGATCATGCTGCTGTATTCCAGCCTGGGTGACAGAACAAGACACTGACTTAAAAAAAAAAAAAAAAAAGACATTTACAAGAATGCTATGGCAACGTTGTTTATAAGGACAAATACAAGAGAAAGATATAATAAATACTTATTGACAGGGGAATGAATAAAGATGGCACAGTTATACAAAACATATACAATATTGAGTAAATACACAAGACATATAAGGATGCCATGACATACACAAGACATACACAGCCAGCCATGGTGGCTCACACCTGTAATCCCAGCACTTTGGAAGGCTGAGGCAAGAGGATCACTTGAGCTCAGGAGTTCAAGACCAGCCTGAGCAACATCACAAGACCTTGTCTCTACTTAAAAAAAAAAAAAAAAAAAAAAAAATTGGCCGGGCGCGGTGGCTTACGCCTGTAATCCCAGCACTTTGGGAGGCCAAGGCGGGAGGATCACAAGGTCAGGAGATCGAGACCATCCTGGATAAAATGGTGAAACCCCATCTCTACCAAAAAAAAAAAAAAAACAAAAAAATTAGCTGGGCGTGGTGGCAGGCGCCTATAGTCCCAGCTACTCGGGAGGCTGAGGCAGGAGACTGGCGTGAACCCGGGAGTCGGAGCTTGCAGTGAGTGGAGATTACACCACTGCACCCCAGCCTGGGCAACAGAGCGAGACTCCGTCTCAAAAAAAAAAAAAAATTAACTAGGCTTGGTGGTGTGCACCTGTAGTCCTGGCCACTCAGGAGGCTGAGATGGGAGGTTTGCTTGAGCCTGAGGAATTTGAGGCTGCAGCAAGCTATGATTGCACCACTGCGCTCTAGCCTGCGGGACAGAGCAAGACCCCATCTCAAAAAAGAAGAAAGGGGAAAAAATTGCAATCCTACTTAAAATTGCAATATTCCACCACCCCTGCCTCTCCAGCTTCCCTTATTTTTTCCCTCTGTACTTCTCACGTTGTAACATATTAATAATGTATCTCAGTTTCATACCTTTTGTTTATGGTTTGGCTCACCCCACCAGAATGTGTGTCCCATGAGAGCAGTAATCCTCTCTGTTGTTTACGGATGTTCCCAGGGCTTAGGTTGGTGCCTCACATACAGTAGGTTCTCAATATGTATATGTTTGTGAGTTTATGAATGAATAAAAGACAGAAACCGCTACTGAAAGTTTAAAACCATGCAAAGCAATACCACTTATCATTTATGGATAAACACGCAGTTCAGGTTTGGGTTACCCCTGGTGACAGAGGTGGGGAACAGGATCAGGAAGGGACACCCAAGAGTCTTCCAGTGTCCCCGTAAGATTTATTTCCTAAGCAGGGCAATAGAGATGGAAATGTTTGTTATATTATTATCAACAAGTTTTGCATGGCAGAGAAATTCTACAGCTTGAAAAAAAAGAAAAAAAAAAGGAACAGCCAGCACCTGCAGCAGGTGTTAGAGTTTCCCAGGGTTTTTCCACATGACCTCATGGGACAGGGGTGCACAGGGGGCTTCCTGTAAACCCAGCTCAGAGCCAGGTGGGGCCTGGGACTGGGGGTTCTTCCAGAGCTCCCTAACAGGGGGGAAATCCCAGTCAGATCAAGAGAGGAAGGGGCAGCCTAGGAGGCCACCTCTTCTGGGTGAGATGGGGAGAGTGGGCCAGAATGAAGCTTGATCTTACACTGTCTTAGTAACAGCCCAACAAGTTCTAGCCCGTTGCCCAGGTAGAGCCGATTTATCAAGACAGGGGAATTGCAATAGAAAGAGTTTAATACATGTAGAGCTGGCTAAACAGGAGACTGGAATTTATTATTACTTAAATCAGCCCCTCGAAAATTCAAAAATGGGTCTTTTAAGGATGATTCAGCAGGTCTGGGACCAGGGATTGGGGAGTGCGTATTGGTCAGACTGAAGATGAAATCATACGGGGGTTGAAGTCGATTTTTTTTTTTTTTTTTTTTTTTTTGGAGATAGAGTCTCCCTCTGTCACCCAGGCTAGAGTGTGGTGGCGCGTTCTCGGCACACTGCAGCCTCTGCCTCCCGGGTTCAAGCAATTCTCCTGCCTCAGCCTCCCAAGTAGCTGGGATTACAGACATGCGCTACCATGCCCGGCTAATTTTTGTATTTTTAGTAAAGATGAGGTTTCACCATGTTGGCCAGGCTGGTGTCGAACTCCTAACCTCAAATGATCTGCCCACCTCGGCCTCCCAAAGTGTTGGGATTACAGGCGTGAATCATCCGCCTGAAGTGGATTCTTGCTGTCTTCTGTTCCTGGGTAGGATCGCAGAACTGGTTGAGCCAGATTACAGGCCTGGGTGGCACCAGTTTGTGCATCAGAGTGCATCAGCAGTGCAGGGTCTGAGAAATACCTCAAGTGCCAATCTTAGGTTTTACAATCGCGATGTTATCCCTAGGAGGAACTGGGAAGGTTCAGAATCTTGTAGCCAGCTGCGTGACTCCTAAACCATAATTTCAAATCTTATGGCTAACCTGTTAGTCTTACAAAGACAGTCTGGTCCTCAGGCAGGAAGGGGTTTGTTTAGGGAAAGGGCTGTTAGCATCTTTGTTTCAAAGTTAAACTATAAACTAAGTTCAGCCTATGCCCAGGAATGAACAGGGCAGCTTGGAGGTTAAAGGCAAGATGGAGTTGGTTAGGTCAGATCTCTTTCTCTGTCATAATTTTTTTGTTGTTTTTTTTTTTGAGTTGGAGCTTCGCTCTTGTTGCCCAGGCTGGAGTGCAGTGGTGCGATCTTGGCTCACTGCAACCTCCACCTCCCAGGTTCAAGCGATTCTCCTGCCTCAGCTTCCCAAGTAGCTGGGATTACAGGCACCTGCCCAGCTAATTTGTTCATATTTTTAGTAGAGACGGGGTTTCACCATATTGGCCAGGCTGGTCTCAAACTCCTGACCTCAGGTGATCCGCCTGCCTTGGCCTCCCAAAGTGCTGGGATAACAGGTGTGAGCCACCGTGCCCGGCCTCTGTCATAATTTTCGCAAAGGTGGTTTCATCTTTATCCAAGAGTAGGGACTTGCCGCTGGATCCCCCTGTCAGACACACGCTGCTGTGAGTCAGCTCTGGATTCCGCTTTAGGACACCTGGGAGCTGTCCCAGTTCAGAATCTGATTCCCTGTTGGAAGCTCTGCCCAGAATTTCTCAAAACTCAGTCTGCATCCTGGCCCCCACCCCCATGAATAATGGGGAGAATAAATGTGAACCCGGTTTTGTCTACATCATAGGGCTGCTGTGAGAATCAAAAAGGGTGAAAAAAAACCTCCCTGCCGGTAGAGACCAGTCTAACTGCAACTGTGCATTTTTTTCTTAACTATCCCCCTATTGTTTGATTGTGTTTGCCATTTTCTCTGCTATAAACAGCACTGCAATGAACATCTTTACATGCCTGCATATGGGTGAAGGGAAAACTTCCCCTTTTCCTTCTGAAGGTTCACTGAAAATCACCTGACAAAAGGCAGATTAGTAGGAGAAAAAGGATACACATTTATTAACATTCATGGGAGAGAATTACAGTGTGATTACCCCAATCCCCCAATGGGGTACAGAAGCTTATGTACTCTTTTTCCCAGGGGAGCGAGGAGATGGGAAACATAGAGCATTGTTTTGAGGAGCAGTAAATGATTATTAAGGAGAATGAATGGATCAGGGAGACAGAAATCAACTTGTGAATGGAATGAGTCTGAGAGGCAGACATTATGTTGTGGAAAAGTCCATCCAGCTGTGGTTGGACTTCTGACTTCTTTTCTTCCGGCTTCTTTTCTGCAGTGGATAATGGGGTATCAGACGGACAGAAGGCAAATGTGTTTCTTTTGGCAAGACACTTTCTAGGTCAGATAAGGAAATTCCAGAGAGTCCCTCCAAGGACTTGAGGGGTGAGAGGGAGAGAACGAGACAAGGTTAGAGAGGCCTTGATGCTGAGGCTTATTTGTGAGGCCTTTCAGTTTTCAAAAGCACTCAGCATGCCCAAGTGCCACATTTTGGGGAATCATTTTCTGTACCCCAACACTTATATTTTTGGTTTGCTTTAAAAAAATTATTTCTCTGGGATAAATCCCAGAGGAAATAATTGGTTAAAGCATATAAATTGTTTCTATGGCTTTTCAACCTGATAATCAAAAGGATCAGAATACTGTTCTAAAGAGTTCATGCGGCTGGGCAAAGTGGCTCATGCCTGTAATCCCAACACTTTGGGAAGCCGCGGCGGGGTGGGATGGTGGATCACCTGAGGTCAGGAGTTCGAGACGAGCCCAGCCAACATGGTGAACCTCTGTCTCTACTAAAAATACAAAAACTAACCAGGCCTGGTGGCACGACGCCTGTAATCCCAGCTATTCAAGAGGCTGAGGCAGGAGAATTGGTTGAACCTGGGAGGTGGAGTTTGCAGTGAGCTGAGATTGCACAACTACATTCCAGCCTGGGCAACAGAGCAAGACTCCATCTCAAAAAAAAAAAAAAAAAAAAGAGTTAATGCAAGTGCAAAGTTTAAGGATGACTGTCCGGGAGACACAGACTCCAGAGGAATGGAATCAATGCTCTGAAATGGAGAAGTTAAGGTTTTACTTGCATAGGTAGAAACAAAGAAGTTTAGCAGGATTACTAAAGTTTAGCAGCCTTTTCCATACGAGGCTGATCTATGAATTACAGCAATCTGATTGGTTGCAGCTTGTTCTTTGTCAGGAAAGGTATAGTCAACATCTATCTTGAGTAAATTGATTGTCACAGAGCCTATTGTGCTATCTGGTCGGAGTCAGGTACAAGAGAGGAAAGAAGGAAGTTAACCTACAAGGAGAGTCAGTAATGAGGAAAAAGGGGTCTTTCCTCCAGTGCCCTTTAGTCTTTTACGACATTTTACAAAAGAATGTAGGTATGGAAAAAGTTGATCTATAATCAGAGAAACAGAGGTTGTGGCTGCCTGTTATGTGACTCAGGTCCCACAGTCACATTTCCTTTAAGGCTCCAAATAAAATTCCAACAGGTTTGTAAGCAGACAGGGAGGGTCTCCAGGGACTATAGGCATTTAGTCAACTGGCACAATAAGCCTGTTTGACAGCCTCCTGCTTTGCAGCTTGTTTTTTCCCAAACCCTGTGTTGAATGTGGTCACCTAGTTGCTGGCACCAGCTCCTGACAGACCCAGGCAACTTCTAGATCAAGCTTGTCCAACCGGCGGCCCAGGACGGCTTTGAATGTGACCCAACACAAATTCATAAACCTTCTTTGAACATGATGAGATTTGTTTTTGCGATTTTTTTAGCTCATTAGATACAGTTAGTATTAGTGTATTTTATGTGTGGCTCAAGACAATTCTTCTTCTAGTGTGGCCCAGGGAAGCCAAAAGATTGGACACCCCTGTTCTAGATGAACCTGAGTACACATTCCTCATGACCATGCTGACCATGAGCTCCACCTCAGGAGGAGCTACACCTTCATCACCATCACAGGCAACCTGTGGGCTGGCATGATGGTGCCCTGCGTCTGCAGCAGCGGGGCCCCTCGTCCCCTCCATCACTGCATAAAACCCTCCTGTCACTTTCCCTCAGGGAGACACTGCTTTGGAGAATCCTCCCAGGGCTCTTCTTACCTGTGGCGAGTCATAAAACTCCTACTGATCCAAACCTGCGTTCTCGTGGAGAGCCGTTTGAGATTCACCAGGTGAATGAACCCCGGTTTTTTTCTGGGTAACAGGTCGAATGTGAATTACTTATTTTCACAAGCTCTTGACATGTTCCGTCAAATTGCTGTTCCCCAAAGAGTGGACTCTGGTGACATATAAGTGTGTGGGACCATTGCATCTTACCCCAGAGATCCACTCCTGATCTGGCATTATTCAAAATCTGCTGAATTCAAAACGATCCTGTACTTCCTGCTCACCAGGTCTGAAAAGAAAAAAGAAAAAAGAAGAAGGAAAGACTACACCTGACAAAAGACAGGGGGAGACATTTATATTAGTTTGCCAGTTTGAGGAAATGCCTTACTTGGCAATATTGTAAATCCAGTTTACAGCTCACTTAACTGGACAGCTTCAAAATGACTTTTTTTTGGTATACATTTTAAAAGTCAGGAGAGCTGAGACAAAAATGAGAATTTATCAGTATTTAACATTTGATAAAATACCTTGAATATTTAAAATGCTCATAAAATGCTATTATACTGTGCTTTATTTTATGTATTTTATATTTTGAGACAGGATCTCTTCTGTTGCTTAGGCTGGAGTGCAGTGTTATGATTACAGCCTACTGCAGCCTCAACTTCCTGGGTCAAGCAATCCTCCCACCTCAGCCTCCCGAGTAACTGGGACTACAGGCATGCGCCACCACACCCGGCTAATTTTTGTATTTTTAGTAGAGGTGGAGTTTCGCCATGTTGCCCAGGCTGGTCTCAAACTCCTGACCTCAGGTGATCCACCCACCTTGGCCTCCCAAAGTGCTGGGATTACAGGCGTGAGCCACCATGCCCGGCTGACACTGTACTATTTCTGCATGGCATTCTCCAGCATTGGGCACTATTATTTTGTTTTGTTTTTCATTCTAAACAAATAGGATGTCTAACAACCAAGTTTGTAGCTCCAGGCCTTGAGATCCATTTGTAAGAGTGGGGAAGAAGGAGGCAAAGTAATATATGTGCTAGCTAATAATTACATGTTCTGCTTATTAAGAATTTACTTTCTTTTGGGCCGGGCGCGGTGGCTCACCGCGGATTACAGTGCCTGTAATCCCAGCACTTTGGGAGGCTGAAGCAGGTGGATCACCTGAGTTCGAGACCAGCCTGGTCTAACATGGTGAAACCCCGTCTCTACTAAAAATACAAAAATTAGCCGGGCACGCACCTGTAATCCCAGCTACTCAAGAGGCTGAGGCAGGAGAATCGCTTGAACCTGGGAGGCGGAGGTTGTAGTAAGCTGAGATCACGCCACTGCACTCCAGCCTGGGCGACAGAGCGAAAAAAAAAAGGAATTTACTTTTTTCTTCCAGGCCCTATGCCAAGCACTTGTGTTATCTCATTTATCCTTGGATCCTTTTAATATGGGGGTTCAGTTACCCCCATATTACAGACAAGGAAACTGAGGTGCAGATCCCAGAGAGGGGGAGAGAGAGAGCACCATTCTGGTATGTAGCAGGGGGAGTCAGAGAACAAAAATCGGACTGACTGATAAGAGGCAAAGGCACTGGTGCAGGCTCTTCCCCAGCTTCCAGCTCTTTCAACCTTCTGGGCCTCGACTCTGCCCTAAGGAGAGGCTGAGGACCAGGTGATGGGCACCAATGTGTGGCTTCTTCACATCCCACAGGCCGGACCCCCTGGGCCTCACCTTCCAGTGAGGGAAGAGAGAGGTGACTGCCTTTTCTTTCTCTGCACAGAGCAGCAGGGGAGTCGTGACCCCCAGGGGCTCAGTAGAGCATGAGCCTGGCCATTGCCAAGCGGCCCGCCCATGCGTGCTGTGGTTACACGGTCTTCATGCTGGCTGGGGAGCCCCGAGAACTCGGGTTTGGTTCGTCCTCCAAACACGTGAACACGTGTTGAGCACTGACTGTGAATTCGGCAGCTGTGATGGGGGCTGAACTCAGGGCCAAGGAGCCAGGCTCCACTCCACTGTGACACCAGGTGTGGGGCTCGGGTAAGTCACCTCTGTGGCCTCTGACCGCAGTTTCCTTATCTGTAAGATGGGGATGGTGATGACTACCTCGGAAGGTTGTTGTAAGGCTTAAATGAGAAGATGGGCGTGTCTGAGGCCAGCATGGGGCCCTGTAAAGTGTGAGCAGAAAGGGGCTCTCCAGGTGCACTCCGGGTATGACTCAGGCGCCCGCTAGGATGCTCACTGGCCCGGCACTGACATCCAGAATGGACCACAAGGGAGAAAGTGGCAGGCTAGCAGGAGGGAGGCACTTTCACTAGGGGCTGGGAAGGGTCCTGGGAGGGCTTCCTGGAGGAGATAGTGTTTGCACCAAATGAAAACCGGTTCTATTCAGTGATGAGACTTGCTGCCTGCAGCTAGAACTTCCATTTAAAAACTGGACAGAAGACTTCCCCCAGGAGGTAACTTTAGACTGACTCCTGCACCTAGAGAGGGCATCCTTAGAGCATCTTAGGGGAAATCTGCCCACCCCTATGTATTTTCTTTTCTTTTTTTCTTTTCCTTTTTTTTTTTTTTTTTTTGAGACTATATCTCTCTCTGTTGCCTAGGCTGGAGTGCAGCAGTGTGATCATGGCTCACTGTGGCCTCTACCTCCTGGGACCAAGCAATCCTCCTGTATCAGCCTCTGGAGTAGCTGGGATTACAGGCATGCACCACCACACCTGGCTAATTATTTAGTTTTGGTAGAGATGGGGTCTCACTATGTTGCCCAGACTTCCCTCTGTCAATGACAGACATAATTCAATCATTCATTCATTCAATAAATATTTATTGAGCACCTACTAGGAGGTGCCAGGCATTGTTCTTGGTACTGGAATTATGGCAGCGAATGAAACAAAGCCCCTGCTCTCAGAGCTTACATCCTGGTGGGCATGGAGGGAAACTAGACAATAAACAGAGAAATAAAGATGTATCAGATTGGTGGAGTGTCCAGGGCTAGATGAGGCAGAGTGAGGGAGGGGGAGAAGGACCAGTGGGCAGGAAGTGGTGCCATCAGGGAAGCCAGTGAAGGGCCACCCTTTGAGTGACATCTGTAGGACATGAGGCTCAGACCCTGTGGACCTGGGGGGAGTGGAGAATGTTCCAGGCAGGGGAACAGCTGGTGCAGGAGGTCTGAGTGCTGGGCAGAGGGGATCCCAGGCGGGATCCCAGGAAAGCTGGAGACAGAGGGAGGGAGGTCAGAGGCGGTGGTGTCGGCCTCTGTGGGCCGTGATTAGGACCCTGGCCTTACCCGGAGGGAGACAGGAGCCTTTGGAGAGATCCCTTACTGGAGCAGAGGCTTGGCTCTGGCTGTCCGTGAGAAGGGACTGGAGCAGGCCCAGGGCAGAAACAGTGGGGCAACCAGGAGGCTGGGGCAGAGGGGCCTCAGCTTGGACCAGGTGCAGGCGACGGAGCTGGGCTGGGGGACGAGATAGGCTTCTGGGTGTGTTTAAAGTTGGAGCCATGAGGATTGGGTGATGAGTTAGACTCCCTACCCCTGAATGCCCTCACAGGACCACAAGGTTCCTGGTGCTCTCACCAAATACCATCTGGAAGCCTCCTCATTCCACAGGTGATTGTGAAAATAAGACCTTAATTGTTTCATTTTGTTTTTTTCCCCCAAAACAAAACCAAATGTAATGACTAAGAAAAGCTCCACTTCCACCTCCAGGGCGCCGCTCCCTCTGGTGGAGGGTTGGCTCCTGATTTAGATGCTTTCTATATATGAATTACAGGGAAAGGGAGGCCTGGGAGCAGGTCCTTCTGGCCAGCTGGGCGGCTCTCAGGGGCTGCCAGGATGCCTGGCTTCTGCCTGAAGTGAGCAGCTCTCAGTCCCTATGGGCCACGCCTCTGCATCATCAGGAGAGGGCTTGGGAGCACACAGGGACTTTGGTCTTTCTCCTGAGAGCAGTGAGGAGCCACGGAATGCGGCAGGCAGGGGAAAGACAAGACCGGATTTGCTTTTTAGAGGAGACCCTTGAGCAACCCCAGGAGATCAGGTTGGAGGAGGCAAGGCCGGAGGCCAAGCGGTCTGGGAGGGGCCTTCAGGGAGGGGAGGAGGGAAGGGAAGTGGGGCCCACTGAAGGCTGGGGAGTAGCTCCCTGGGCTGCCCCCTGTTGGTCATGACTCTGCCCTGGGGCCCAGGCCCGATGTCCACCTCGAGCCTTAGCTCCTGCAGGTGCAGCTAGATGGAGTCTGAGCTGGTGCAGCTATGTGGGGCCTGTTCTGGGCTAGTGACTCACTTCTGAACGGCTTTGGCAGAATGAGGCAGTTCTCCCTTTCACAAAATTCATCACAGTTCAAGCTTTTGGCCCCAAACAGCGGCAGATGACAGAGGGATTTCCTGAGGTGGTTTATGGGACTTTTGCTGAAATGGTAGCATGAACTTCACCTGGGCCTGCAGGGAGCCATCCCCTGCCTCCATCCCCTTGCTCCTCCTTGGCCTGTCCTAAATCAGGGATGGGACCTTGGTCCTTACCCAGAGCAACCTTGGCCTTCAAGCAGCATGCCTGAGCTCCTCCCTCAGGTTCTGCTCAAACCCTTTTTCCTCAGAACCTGCACACCCCGCTGGGTCGTCACACAGCAAGGCCCATGCCTCCTCCTCCAGGAAGCTGCACTCTGCCCAGATCTCCTTGGATGATGCTAACTCATGGGGTGTGGGGAGTGTGGAAGCCCAGCTTCCTTGCCTGGGGTTTCAATAACCCTGAGATGTAACTTGCATTCCAGAGCGGCCCTCGGGATCACAATGAAGCACCTGCCTGCTGGACTTGGCCAGACATGGCACTGTTGGTCTTCCTTCCCTCCCCTCTCCTGCTTCCCACTCCTTTCCTGGTTTATTCTGGGGGCACTTCCTTAATCAATCACTTGCTCACAAATCCTCAGCAGAGAGCCTGCTTCTGGGGACCCGACCCAAGACACAGCTTCCAGGGGTCACTCCTGCTGTTTCTCAGCTTGGACGGATCCTCCTTGACTGCACCCCTATAAAACAGAATGCAACGCAGAGCTTGTCTCCTGGGGAGAAGCTTCCCAGTGGGACCAGTCCTGCACTGAGGTCCCATGACACCTTGGCAGGCCCTGTTCCTGGTGCCCGAAGACTGGCCTCGGTCCTGGGAGGTAGCCCCTCCCCTTGGCTCCACCCACAGTTGAGTCTTTGCACACAAAGTTGTTCTGCCCACCTTGGCTCTTGACTCCACCCCACCTCACAGCCTCTCTGGGCCTCCGTGGCTCCATCTATACAATGAGGGCACAGGCTCTGCCCCTGTGAGCGGTGGTGTGACGCTGGTTCTGGATTCCTGCTCCCAACCTCACCCTGCGGTAGCTGAGCCAGGACCTCTGGAAAAGAGGAGCCCAGCTTGTTCAAGAATGAACAGCTGGGTCCTGGCTCAGAGAATCAACCATTCTGGCTGTTACAACTCATTACTAAATCCCAGCTATGCCCTGAGGAGGATTAAGGAAACTGCTCCGGTAAAAAATCCCCAACAGAAAGAATGCACTCCCTCCCAGGGAGCCCTAGAAATCTGACCACGGTCATCTTCTCCTGGCGGTCTCTAACCAATGCACATTCCGGGTGTTTGCGTGCCAGAGGGGCCAGCTGGGCATCTGCGCGATTGGCCAATGCCTGGCAGAAAAGCAGCCCAGGGTGCTAGCTTTCTGATTCACGGGCAGGACTTCAGGTAATGCCAGCTGCTGAGGGAGTTTCGTTAGGCTGCATCGCCCCAGGGAGGAAACCTGAGGCTGGATGGCAAGAAGCCTGGACAGGGCACTGCTCTGCCTCGAACTTGCTGGTGACCCAGGCAGGGCACTGTCCCCTGTTAACTCTCAGCTTTCCTACTTAAAAACTGGGAATGGTATCCCCATTTACAGGGATGTACTCACTTACACAGAATATGTCTATAGAGTGTTCACCCTGTGGGGACCCATGTTGGGCACTGGAACCATGAAAAGGCTTGGACCCTACCCTGTCCTTGCCCTGTGTCGCTCCCAGGCTTGAAGCTGGGAAGGTTAAAGGAGAGGGTCCGAGGGAGAAGTGGGGTATGTATGTGGGGGCCACATTAGCACAAAGCCAGAGGCCTGCAACCATGATGCCTTGAGGCTATGGATGAATAAGCAGATGTAGCTGAAGGAGCCACTGGGGTTGGCTGGCAGGTCAGGACAGGGCAGCCATGAGGGTTGTGGTCACATGCCTCAGTGTTACTGTCTTAATCTATTTTCCGCTGCTATCACAGAATACCGCAGACTGGGTAACTTATACAGAAAATAACTTTATTTGGCTCATGGTTCTGGAGGATGGGAAGTCTAGAAAAATAGTGCCAGCATCTGGAGAGAGTCATCCTGTGGCACAAGGCATCACATGGCCAGCATGCACACAAGACAGAGAGAGAAATGGGGCCAAACTTATCCTTTTATCAGAAGCTCACTCCTGCCATAAGTAATCCACTCTTACAATAACTGCATTAATCTCTTCATGAGGGCAGAGCACCTCATGACCCAATCACCCCTAAAGGACCCATTTCTCAACACTGTCACAATAGCAATTAAATTTTATTTTATTTTATTTTTATTTTTTGAGATGGAGTTTCATTCTTATCACCCAGCCTGGAGTGCAGTGGCACCATTTCGGCTCACCACAACCTCTGCCTCCTGGGTTCAAGCGATTCTCCTGCCTCGGCCTCCTGAGTAGCTGAGATTACAGGCATGTGCCACCATGCCCAGCCACAATTAAATTTCAACAGGCATTTTGGAGAGGACGTTCAAACCACAGCAGTTACCTTCACCTGGATTTGAGTCCAGCTCAAGCGTGGTGACCTTGGGCAGGTCCTTCAGGCAGAAGGACTTGAGGCTCTCTGAGCCGCAGTTATCTTGACTTGAAAGTGAGAATCCTAACAGTGCCCACTTGAAGGCTTGTTGTGGGGTGAACACCACATAGTTTGAAGCCCGATCCTGTCTGAGTAGCGGTGGCTCTCTTGCCCCTCTGAATCTTCCAGGCTGGGGCCCTCTGCTCCCCAGAAGAGCAGACTGAGGGGCTGAGAAAGGGGCAAGTGGCTTTCTGTGTGGGGTGCAAGGCTGCAGCAGGCTGAGTCTGGGGGCAACCCAGGTCTGCTGATGAGCTGTTACCCTGCCCCCCAGGGCCACACCTCACTGGGAGCTGAAGCCTGAGCACATTTCCCAGGGGTCTGGGCTGGCCAAGGGGTCCCGACTGGGCTCTCTGCTACCCTCTGTGGCCAGCTGCTCATGTCTCTTGTACGAGAGCATCAGCTTCCAGCAGTCAGACAAAAGCCCAGGCAGGGCCGGGGTGAAAGCCACACTGCGCCTTGCCTGCTGCGCGTCATCGGAAAATGTTCGCCCCATCTGGGCTTCAGTTTCCATATCTGTATAATGGGCTTCCAGCATGTGCCCTGCCCCACCCCTCACCAAGCACAGACCAGAGGCAGGGCCCCCTCAGAGAGGAGACAGTCAGTCAGATGATCTCTATTCAAACCCAGTTCTGCTCCTTACCAGCTGTGTGACCGTGGGCAAGTCCCTCCACTGACCTGAGCCTCAGTTTCTTCGTCTGTAACTTGGGGTTCCTAAAATCAACTTCACTGGCCTTTGTGGGGATTAAACAAACTCTTGTGTGTGGAGTGCCTGGCACGGATCACTCACTCTCAGCGCAAGTTCCCTTCCGTTGGGGCCGCTCTCCGCCTCCTTACACCCTGATCTAACCTCACCTTCCACTGCCCATCTCAGCTGCTGCTGCTTCTCCTCCCTTTGGCGATGCCGACGCGCTCCAGCCTCCAGGCCTTTGCTCACCGTTTGTTCTGCCAGAAATGCCTTTTCTCCCTCTCGCATTCCTACCATTCCAAAGCATATTGTCTTCATTGCTCAGCTCAAATGCTGCCTTCTCCAGGAAGGCTCTCCGAGGAGCTCTGTGCAAGCAGACAAAAACACGGATACAGGGGCACCAGAAGGGGCATCTCTCTGCCCACATCTCTCTACTTTCGGCCTGGATCAGGCTCAAACATGGACATTTTTCTCCCCCACCTCGCAGTACACAAAAGTGCCCACTAGGTGGTGAAAGAATGACGAAGTCCCCGTGGGGATGGGCGATAAGGGAGGCCAACCAGGCACCGCCTGCATCACTCATTCGTTTATTTAACGAATATTGACTGAGCACCTGCATGGTGCCAGACTGTGGGGCAACCCAGCAACAAGGCCCGACTCTCAAGGAGCTTGTGTTCTAGCTGGGGGAGGCTGGACTGGCGGGAGACACAAAAAACAAGGAAATAAATAAAGCAGGAAAAACATGGGACAGAGATGAAGGTTACACAGAAAATGCTGGCCCAGGATCACTTGAGGCCAGGAGTTCGAGACCAGCCTGGCCAACATGGTGAAACCCCGTCTCTACAAAAAATACAGAAATTAGCCAGGTGTGGTTGCGTGCGCTGGTAATCCCAGCTATTTGGGAGGCTGAGGTGGGAGGATCCCTTGAGACTGAGAGGCAGAGGTTGCAGTGAGCTGAGATTTCACCACAGCACTCCAGCCTGGGTGACAGAGTGAGACCCCTGTCAAAAAAAAAAAAAAAAAAAAAAAGAAAAGAAAAGAAAAAAGAAAGAAAGGAAAGAAAAGGAAAGGAAAGGAAAAAAAAAAATTCCAGGCCCTTGAGTGTGTCCAGGCTTCTGACTGAGCATTCTTTCAGTGCAGAGCCACACTTTGAACCTGAGAGAGTGGCTGAGCTGGATGATTCTCAAAGTGCGCTCTGCGGACCAGCAGCAGCACCACCAGCAGCAGCATCACCCGGGAACTCAAAGGAAATGCAGGTTCTCTGGCCTCTGCCGAATGCACTGAATCAGAATCTGCATTTTAACAAGATCCCCAGGTAATTCCTTTTCAAGTTAAAGCGAGAAGCTCTGCCCAAGTCCAGAGGCTTAGGGACCAATGACACACACAAGCCAAATCTGGCCACCTATTTTCGTATGAATCCCATGCTAAGAATGGGTCCTGCTCAGAAAAAAAAAATCTAGAGAGTATTTTGTGATAAATAAAAGACATGCGAATTCAAATTTTAATGGCCATGCATAAAGTTTTATTGGAAGCCGGCTGCACCCTTTGTTTATGTATTGGCTGTGGCTGCTCTTGTACCAGAATGGTGACGTTAAGGAGCAGCAACAAAGACAGTATGGGCCACAGTGTTAAAATATTGACTCCCTGGCCCTTTGAAGAAAAAGTTGGCTAGTCCCTGCTCTAGTACATCTTCCTCACACTTTATGAATGAAGAATCAGGGCCCCGGGGGAGGGGGGCAGTATCTTGTTCAAGGCATCATGGGAGCCCTGCTTTCTCTACACGCTCAGGGTCCTGTTTCCACAGGCTCAGGCCTGAAGAGACTGAAAGCCCCCACTTTTTCTGTCTCTTGGGTTGGCCCAGGGTTGAAACCCAGGTTCCAGGCTGTGAGGAAGTCCAGGACACACTGAGAGGTCATGTGTAGGTGTTCAGGCCAACAGCACAGCCAGGGGCTCAGCTGACAGCCAGCATCAATGACCAGATGTATGGGTGAGGAGGTCTTCGGATGACTCCAGGCCAACTCCTATCTGACTACAGCTACAACTGCACAAAAGAGCCCGAACGAGAAACACTGGCTGAGCCCAGTCAACCCTGGAACCAGAAGAGATGATAATGCCATCCAGCCCTGAGATTTGTTTGGAGGGTGACGCGGCCAAGGATGACACCCACTGCCCCAGAGGCTGGGGGACTGGCAGGTATATCTTAGGGTTTGGGGGTGGGAGTGAAGGTCATCCTGAGGAGAGTCCTTTTTGAGTGTGTTAAGGTGTCTGTGTCCATGTGGACGGGCTGTCAGAATGGGCTGGGGGATGCGGTCAGGGACCACTCCCATTCCCAGGGCCTGGGTGTCCTGACCATCCATGCTAGGTCTGTTCCACGTTGGCCACACTGTTCCAGGCAAGCGCCTTTGGTCACACGGACTGGTCTCTGAGACTGGTCTGATGTGTGTACTCTCAGGAGCCTGGACAGGGGCAGTCTCAATCCAGAAATGACCTCTTCAATACTTGGTGTAGTTCCCTGTATGAAACGCCCAATATTATGAGCCACCCAGGCCTGGGTCACCTGCTGACTGGCTGGAGGAAGTGCATGGGACCATGTGAGGTCACGGCAGCCCCAGGGTTTGCAGGTCGTCTGCATCCTGGCTCCCCCGCTTACAAGCTGTTTGACCTTGGTGAGGTTAGATCATCTTCCTAAGCTTCAGTTTCTTCAGCCACACAATGGGTATAACACTTACCCTTGAGGGTTACTGCGATTGTCACACAAGGCAGCATTTGCATGGGCCCTGGGCCATGCTAGACATTCATCAGGCACTGAAGCTATGGGGGAGAGAAGTGAGGGGCCCAGGCTCTGGAGCCAGTGGGTTTAAACTCCACTCTACCACTAACAAGACATTATTAAAAACTTCTGTGCGCCTCCATTTCCTCATCTGTAACATGGGGATAATAATAGCACCTGCCTCCTGGCTTGTTGAGAGGATATATGTAGTGCTTACAACAGCACAACACACATATATGGGTACTTCACAAATACAAATCCATTCAAGGAAACCAACCCTGGTGCCCTGGGATGGCCGTTGGTCAGAGACACAGAAGCCGAAGCCAGCTTAGGACAAGCGGAGGGGCCCAGGCCTGCCCCTCGGTTCCGGGGGCCTCACTTCTGTTCCAGGGCTGTTCAGTTACCTGCTCCTAGGCCTGGGAGGCCCAGTGGACAACAGAGTGACCTCTTCTCCACTGATTTGATCTGAATACATTCTGCCCCATGAGGGCCCAAATGAGGGAACTGGTATGATATTCACAGAGAGGTGACATCACCCGCTGAAGATCACACAGCAAGTCCCTGGGCCACCTGGATCCCGGCCACAGCTCCACCCTGCTACCTCCCTCTCTTAAGTAACACATTAATAAGTGTCTTACCCTCAGGCCATTATCTGTGTTCCCAGGCCAGGGAACATTTCTGAAACACATCAAACATTGACAAAAAGAGGTGTTTTTCTGTCCCCAGGCCAGGCCCTTCGGCCTCTGTTAACCAGTGAGTGTTCTCTGTTAATCCTGAGCCCAGCTCCTCCTACACACAAGTACAAACAAGGGCATTGGGCATGGGAGAAACCTGTCCACCAGGGCCAGGAGGGGACACGGAAGGTTAATGGGTCCCCTCCCCCAAAGCAATGCACACAGCTGGGGCTCAATAAGTGCTACTGGGTGGTAGGAACAGAGCCAGCTGAGGGCACAGGAAGAGGGATCTGCTAAGCAGAGGAGGCCTGACCTGGGCTTCATTGGGTAAAACCAGTCATCATAATAAGTAGCTGGCATTTCGGGAGCTCTTAGTTAGTTCCAGACACTGCCCTGAGCACTGGACATGGTCACTCACTAACGTTTCCATGTTTCAGTATCTGTGGGGTGCATATGTTGCTCTCCCCAGTCTACAGACAGGAAGCTGCAGGCAAGAAAGATGAAGTCATTTGCTTAAGTCACACCATTACCAAGAGGCCGAGCTTGGATTCACACCCAGCACCCTGGCTCCAGACCCAAGCTCTCAACCACAATACAAGCCTGTGGAGTGGGAGGGGTGAAATACATGAGTGAGGGGTGACTTCTAGGTATTGGCTTGGGGTGGCTGTCCCTTTGATGGATATGTGGGAGGAGCGCAGGTGTCAGGTGAGGTATTGGGGAGAAGGTGGATGAATTGGGTTTGGCAGGTGTTGAGTTCCAGATACCTGAGGATGCTCAGGTGGAGGAGGCAGGAGAGAGGCGGCTTATGGCTCTGAAGCTGGGTGATGGGGGCTGGAGCTGCTCACTCCAGAGTCATCAGCGTAGAAGCGCAGCCTGGGAGACACCTGAGCGATGAAGGGGCAAGGCCACAGCTAAGGCAGGGGAATTGATATTTAGTGTGCAAGGATTCAAAATGACAGCAAGAAAAGAAGTGTTTTAGAGACTATTACTATTATTATTATTGAGACAGAGTCTTACTCTGTTGCCCAGGCTGGAGTGCAGGGGTGCAATCATAGCTTACTGTAACCTTGAACTCCTGGGCTGAAGTGATACTCCGGCCTCCGCCTTCCGGGACTCAGCCACCACAACCAGCTAACTTTTAAATTTTTCTGTAAAGACAGGGTGGGGGAGCCTCCCTATATTGCCCATGCTGGTCTTGAACTCCTGACCTCAAGCAGTCCTCCAGCTTTAGCCTCCCAAAGTGCTGGGATTACAGGAATCAGCCACCAAACCTGGCCAAATGCTATTTTTATTTATTTTATTTTATTTATTTATTTTTGAGACGGAGTTTTTTTGTTTGTTTGTCTTTTGTTTTCTTTTGAGACAGAGTCTCGCTCTGTCGCCCAGGCTGGAGTAAAGTGGCGTGATCTTGGCTCACTGCAACCTCCACCCCCTGGGTTCAAGCAATTTCCTGCCTCAGCCTCCTGAGTAGTTTGGATTATGGGCACCTGCCACCAAGCCTGGCTAATTTTTTTGTATTTTTAGTAGAGACGGGGCTTTACCATGTTGGCCAGGCTGGTCTCGAACTCCTAAGCTCAGGTGATCCACCCGCCTCAGCCTCCCAAAGTGCTGGGATTACAGGCGTGAGCCACCGCGCCTGGCCAAGTGCTATTTTTAAATGAATGTTTTCTTTATTTTGAGGGTAGATAATAAATGCACAAGATGCAAATTCCCAAAGGGTGAAAATTGTGTCTCTCTTACTCTGTCCCAGTTCACCAGGTCTTCTCCCCAGAGGCAGCCACTGTCCCCAGTTTCTTCTTTTTTCTTTTTCTTTTTTTTTTTTTTTTTTTGTTAGAGACAGGGTCTCACTCACTCTGTTGCCCAGGCTGGAGTGCAGTGGCACAATCACAGTTCACTGCAGCCCCAGCCTCCCAGGCTCAAGCAATCTTCCTACTTCAGTTTCCCAAGTAACTGGGACTACAGGTGTACACCACTACGCCTGGGTAATTAAAAAAAAATTTTTTTTTGTAGAGACAGGGTCTCGCTATGTTGCCCAGGCTTGTCTCAAACTCCTGGGCTCAAGCAATGCTCCTGACTCAGCCTCCCAAAGTGCTGGAATTACAAACCATGAGCCACTGCACCTGGCCTGTTCCCAAAGAAACAAGAAAGATGTTTCTTGTACATCTTTCCAGGGATATTTAACACACAGAAATAGGTGGCCAGGTGTCGTGGCTCACGCCTGTAATCCCAGAACTTTGGAAGTGGATCGCTTTGAGCCCAGGTGTTCGAGACAAGCCCGGTCAACATAATGAAACCCTGTCTCTACAAAAAATACAAAACATTAGCTGGGTGTGGTGGCACATGCCTGTGGTCCCAGCTGCTCAGGAGGCTGAGGCGGGAGGATCATTGGAGCACAGGAGGTAGAGGTTGCAGTGAGCCAAGATTGCACCATTGCCCTCCAGCCTAGATAACAGACTGAGATCCTGTCTCAAAAAAAAAAAAAAAAAAAAAAAAAAAAGAATAGGCATATACTTTCTCCTATAAATGGTAACATATGCACTTTGCATCACCCTGTTTTCTCACTGGACAGTACATCTTGGAGATCATTCCACACTGGTACGCACAGAGCTGCCTCACTCTTTTGATTGATGCAGAGTATTTCACTGTGGGAATGAAGCATACGTAATGAACAGTCCCCTATGAGTGGACCTTTAGGTTGTTTCCCATATTTTACTATTCCAACAATGCCACAATGAAGAGCCTTTGGCAGATGGCATTTTGCACATGTGTGAACGCGTCTGTAAGGTAAATTCCTAAAAGCAAAATTTCTGGGTCAAAAAAGATGTGCAGTCTAAACTTTGATAGCTACTGCCAAACTTTCTTATTGAAGTTGCTGATTTACACTCCTACCAGCAACGTATGAAAGCACCTGGTTCCCCAATGTATTATTTTTTACATTGGTATCTTGCTGTAATTTTAATATGCAGTTCTTTTGTGAGTCAAGTTGAGCACTTTTCATCTTTTGTTTTTTTTTTTTGTTTGTTTTGTTTTTTTTTGTTTTAGATGGAGTCTCACTCTGTCACCCAGGCTGGAGTGTAGTGATGGGATCTCGGCTCACTGCAACCTCCATCTCCTGGACTCATGAGCAATTCTCCTGCCTCAGCCTCCTGAGTAGCTGGAATTACAGGCATGTGCCACCATGCCCACCTAATGTTTGTATATTCAGTACAGACAGAGTTTCACCATGTTGGCCAGGCTGGTCTCAAACTTCTGACCTCAAGTGATCCGCCTGCCTCGGCCTCCGAAAGTGCTGGGATTACAGGCATGAGCCACCGCGCCCAGCCATACATTTAAAGGCCATTTTCTTTTCTATAAACTGTCCATTGATATCCTTTGCTTATTCAGATAAGCTGGGCATCTTTGTCTTAGGAACTATTTGTGCAATAAGTAAATCAACCCCTTGTCTATAAAATGAGTTGCAAATATATGGTATTTTTCCCGGTTTGTTGTCTTATGATTTTGTTAATTTTTTTTTTTTAAGATAAACATAAGCCTGGTATTTCCAGGCACCTGGTATTTCCAGGCAGTCTCCCATACAAGCCCTAACCAGGCTTAGTTTCCAAGATCAGATGCATTCAGGATGGTACGGTTAATTTTTCAATGGAGAATTAGTTGTACTCTTATGGCTTCTGGCTTTCGCACACATAGCGTATCACTTATTTATTGCTGCATAAAGAATTACTCCAAAATTGAACGGCTTAGAGCAACAGCAGTCAGTGCATTATCATCTCTTATGGTTCCGGGGTTGACTGGGCTCAGCCAGTGATTCTCCTAAAGGCTCTTTCTTGCAGTTTTAGCTGTAGTCAGGTGGGAGTTGGCCTGGAGTCACCCGAAGGCTTCCTCACTCATACCTCTGGTCATTGACGGTGGCTGTGAGCCGGGCCCCTGGCTGTGCTGTTGGCCTGAACACCTACACGTGACCTCTCTGTGTGTCCTGGACTTCCTCACAGCCTGGAACCTGGGTTTCTACCCTGGGCCAACCCAAGAGACAGAAAAAGTGGGGGCTTTCAGTCTCTTAAGGCCTGAGCCTGTGGAAACAGGACCCTGAGCGTGTAGAAAAAGCAGGGCTCCCATGAGGCCTTGGACGGGATACTGCCCCCTCTCCCCCGGGGCCCTGATTCCCCAGTGGCACGAGGCGCACCCCCCCACACACACACAAGGACACTGTGTAGGGTCACTGTTACTGTCACTCCCCGAGCACGCACAGTCACCGCTCAGCCGCAACCCGGCGCTCCCTCTCGCGAAGCCACACCCCCTGCGCACGCCGCGCGCGACGTCTCTCCCGCCCACTCCAGCCTGGCCCCGCCCCGGCCCAGCTACATTCCCGGGCCAGCTTCTGTACTGCCAGGTCCGGGTCGGCGGCTGCACTGCGGATGAGACCGGTGCGACTCATGAAGGTGTTCGTCACCCGCAGGATACCCGCCGAGGGTAGGGTCGCGCTCGCCCGGGCGGCAGAGTAAGAGCCTCGCGCGCCGTGGAGGAGGGAGCAGGGCGGTCCCAGGGACCGGAGAGCCGGGCGGGGCGTTTGGGCCTTGTGGCCGGCTGGGGCAGGCTTGGAGTTTTGGGGAGTCTCGGAGAAAGTTCTCTGGGGCCCAGTTCTCCTCTTAAGACGACGCTGGGACCTGCAGTTCCGGCTTTGGAGAGGGGAGATTGCCCCTGAGGCAAGGTCCAGGCTAATTCTCCACGCTCCCACAGGACATGTGGGGTCAGGGACATGGCGGTCACTGACCAGGCCCTTGGACGTTTGGCAGGGGGCTTTGATGACTCTTCTTCTTTATATTTACTTATCTTTTTTTTTTTTTTTTTGAGACAGTCTCACTCTGCTGCACAGGCTGGAGTGCAGTGGCTCGATCGATCGTGGCTTACTGCAGCCTCGACTTCTTGGGCCCAATCAGTTCTCCCACCTGAGCCTCCCGAGTAGCTGGGACTACAGGCGCAAACAATCACTACCGGCTAATTTTCTGATTTTTTTTTTGTAGAGATGGGGGTCTCACTCTGTTGCTCAGGCTGGTCTCAAATTCCTGGGCTCAAGCAATCCTCTTGCCTCAGCCTCCCAAAGTGTTGGGATTACAGGTGTTAGTCACCATGACTGGCCTGAGGACCCTTTAATTTTTAAGACAGGGTCTCACTCTCATCCAGGCTGGAGTGCAGTGGCACCATTATACCTCACTGCAGCCTCAACCTCCTGGACTCAAGAGATACTTCCACCTCAGCCTCCCAAGTAGCTGGGACTACTACAGGCATGCACTACCATGCCTGGCTAATTTTTTATTTTTTTCAAAGACGAGGGTCTCACTGTGTTGCCCAGGCTGGTCCTGAACTCCTGTACGAAGGGATCCTCCCACCTCAGCCTCCCAAAGTGCTGGGATTACAGGCATGAACCACTGCACCTGGCCCACCCTTGCTAAATGGAACCCTTTTTGTGGGCCAACCTTGCCAGGTGCTTCATATACATAAACTTTTAATCCTGGTAGCACTGTGAAGTCAGTATTATAATTCCCATTGCACAGATTAAAAACTGGAGGCTGGACTTAGGGTTAAGTTTCTTCCCAAAGCCATGCAGCTCCCAGGTGGAGGAGCTGGGGCTTGTACTCAGAAGTGTCTGACTGCTGTCTGATCACTGCATTTGATCAGGTTTGTGTTTCCAATGTTAGATAGGAAGAGGATGCAATCCAGCCTCAGCAGCCAGTTCTAGGGGCATATGAGATTTTCAAATTTTGTTCACTGCAACAAAACCTTTGCCAAGGACCCACTTTGTACTGAGCAGGAGAAGGTGGAAGGCAGCAACCGCGCCCATGGTAACAGTAGCTCACGCTGTACCCTGCTCATGGGGAGGTGGATGAAAGGTGGTCAGTGCCCTGGGCTCAGTCAGGAGGTGCAAGTAGCTATCCTGTGTCCTGCCACATAGAGGCTCCACACGTGCTGACTGTACTGAATTCCATGGCAAGGGCCAGGAGGCACCGTGCATCACTGGGACAAATATCTGGTTGCTGTGAGCTGCCGTGGAAGCGTTGGGTGGCCTTGACCTTATCTTTCCTGGCCCAGTCCAACTATGAGAGTTTTCTATTTCATGGACTCCACGGACAGGAAGAGATGCAACAGGCCATTGAATCCAGGCCCCCCACCTGAGGCACACCCTGCCCCCCACGGGCCTTCCCTGCAGTTGGCCGCCTGCTTGGCCGCCCAGCCCCTGTGAATGTGGGAAAGCTCTTCTCTGTGCTGACCTGAGAGCTGTCCCCATGCCTTCCCCCTTGCAGCTTAGGCTCTGCTGGGGGGCCCCTCAGCCCTTCACCTGTCACCTGCTGTCTCGGGACAGTTCTGAGACCACCCCTGCCTGACCCTGCCTCCCCTCAGCCAGCCCCGGGCAGCCTGAGGCCAGGGCCATCAGAGGCCAGGATTCCCAGCTGGGAGGGGCGGGGACAGGTGTGCGGCTCCTGCTTCTCCTGAGGGCCTCCCTTTCCCCGCAGCTGTGAGGTGGAGCAGTGGGACTCGGATGAGCCCATCCCTGCCAAGGAGCTAGAGCGAGGTGTGGCGGGGGCCCACGGCCTGCTCTGCCTCCTCTCCGACCACGTGGACAAGAGGATCCTGGATGCTGCAGGTGCACACTGGGTGGGCAGGGGACTTGAGGGTGGCTTGGCCCTGTGGGCCCCTCAGCCTGTGCTGCTGGCTCCTGGCTGCTCTGCAGTGCTGTCTGGGTTCTGAGGGCGTTTCCTGCGATACCAGGCCCGAGCGGGCAGATAGCTTGCTCTGGCACAGGCACTGCCCCTCCCTCCTGCTGTGAACCCCTTGGCGGGGGACCCTAGGAGGGCAAAGACCGCGGTGTGGAGACTGTGGGTGTGGGGAAGTGCATCCAAGGCCCTGGGTTCTCCAGCCCTGCCACAACCTTGCTCTGTGACCTCCAGCAAGACCCTGCCCCTTCTGGGCGTGTGCGTAGTATGAGGGAGGACCTAGCTCAGTGCCAAGCCCCAGCAGGATGTCTTTCCTCAACCGCAGCCACGGGTCTCAGCCCATGGAAGAATAAACCTCCCCCTGTGAGGCTGTTGTGACAGTTTTGAGAAAAGGTTCAGACTCAGAGGCTGCCAGATGGGAAGGGACCCTTGTGAGTCAGTGCTGAGCCGCCCCACATCCTGGCCTTGGCCTGGAAGCTTTGTGGTGTCCTGCTTGCAGGAGAGGGTAGAGAGGGTCACGTCCCAGCCACCTTCTTGGCACTCTCAGAGGTGTCCATGGGGGAGGCCCCAGCGTGGCTAAAGAAGACCGGAGGCCTCGCTGGGTGGACAGTCCAGTGGGTAAGAGCGGGGCCTTGGTGGCAGAGGCCCTGAGGTGAACCCGGCTCTGCCTGTGACTGAGCCAGGCCACTTAACCTCCCTGAACTGCAGTGTCTGAGGCTGTCAAAGGGGATTATTCAGAGTTTTAACTGAAGAACAGAGATGTCAGCCTCTTATTCTAAGAAAACAATAATAAGCGGTGTCCCCATGATAGTCCCCAGTGCTGTGGCTTTGAGTTCCTCGAGGAAAGATACTAACAATGCACTTTCTGCACAACAGGGGCCAATCTCAAAGTCATCAGCACCATGTCTGTGGGCATCGACCACTTGGCTTTGGATGAAATCAAGAAGCGGTAACTGCAGCTTGGGATCTGGAGGGGGCCTAGAGAGAGGGGTGGCTATGAGAGAAAGAAGAGCTGTTGATTTGTTTTTACTGCATATCCCTCGGCCATTCAGGGAGAATGTGAGGTGGCTGATGATAGAATCTGTCCACATGTGCACAGGTCAGTTACAATAAACCCCAGCAGTCAGAAACAGTGGGTAACTTCTGTGTAGGTGGCACCCTTTCACATTCATTATCTTTTTTGATCCCCACAACAATACCTTGAAGTAGCAAAGGCAGGTGTTATTCTTTCTGTTTCAGATGAGGAAATTCAGAAAGGTTAAGTTACTTGTTCAGTCCCTGAACCCTGATCTTCCATCTTCATATCCTTCCAAAGTGGGAGATAATCTAAATAGGAATGAGGACTGCCCGTTTTTGAGTGCTCATTTATAGTTCTGAGCTTCCTGGCAGGCAGATCAAAGAGGGAGCAAAGTAACTCCATGGAAATGTCCCAGCAGTAGACATTGGTAAATATGGTTGAGGCTGATGTTACCACCAGATGTCTGATTCGTAGTGGGATCCGAGTTGGCTACACCCCAGATGTCCTGACAGATACCACCGCCGAACTCGCAGTCTCCCTGCTACTTACCACCTGCCGCCGGTTGCCGGAGGCCATCGAGGAAGTGAAGAAGTAAGTGAACGCAGACCAGGTGCGGTGGCTCACGGCTGTAATCCCAGCACTTTGGGAGGCCAAAGTGAGCGGATCATGAGGTTAGGAGTTCGAGACCAGTCTGGCCAACATAGTGAAACCCCGTCTCTAGTAAAAATACAAAAAAAATTAGCTGGGTGTGGTGGTGGGTCCCTGTAATCCCAGCTACTTGGGAGGCTGAGGCAGGAGAATCATGTGAACCCAGGAGACAGAGGTTGCAGTGAGCTGAGATCACACCATTGCACTCCAGCCCAGGTGACGGTGTGAGACTCTGTCTCAAAAAAAAAAAGAAAAATAAGTGAACGCCTGGCAGGAACGTTGGCTCTGCTCAGCACTGGATCCTGATCACTGTGCCAGTCCAGCCCACGCATAGTCCCTGACCCCAGGTGTGCCCCATTGAGTGAGGACTCAGCTAAAATAAAGCACAAAGCAGAGCTGCAATAAGGGCAGAAAGGGAAGTGGTGAGAGAAGAGGATGAGGGAGGACAAACAAGTTCTGCTGGTGGGTGAGGGCTGGCAGGGAGAGTGTGGATCAGGGAGGGCTTCACAGAATAAGTAGCAGGTGGGCGTCCGCTTGAGTCCTGAAAGCTGCAGGTCCACCATCCCTTAGATCCCAAAATCTAAAAAGCTCGGACAGCTGAAAGTTCTTTCATACTAACAGGAGACTATTTAAGGCTTTTATTTCTCCCATTTAATGTGACTTTCCTAAGTTTTGCTGCAGATGTAACACTTTTAAAACAGGCTGCTGCCCAGACACTGCAGAGGGTGATGTGTGGAATCTACCACGTGCGCCATGCTGCCTTTCTAAAGGCCAAACAGTTTTAAAATCTAGCCTGAAGGTTTCAGATCAGGGATTTCGGCCTGTATATCAAGAGTTAGAGTTGGCCGGGCACGGTGGCTCACACCTGTAATCCCAGCACTTTGGGAGGCCGAGGCGGGCAGATTGTTTGAGCCTCAGGAGTTGGAGAACAGCTTGGGCAATGTGGCAAAAGTCTGTCTCTACAAAAAATACAAAAATTAGGCAGGCGTGGTGTTACACGCCTGTAGTCCCAACTACTCGGGAGGCTGAGGTGGGAGGATTGCTTGAACCCAGGAGGCAGAGGCTGCAGTGAACCGAGATCATGTCACTGTACTCCAGTCTGGGCGACACAGCAAGACCCTGTCTCCAAAAAAAAAAAAAAAAAAAGTTGGGGGAAGCATTCCATGTGCAGATGGAGGGACTGGCCCGAGTCAAGGTGGGAGGCGTGCAAACGCAGGCTCTCACAGTGCGTGGCCAGCAGCGTGGGCCCCGGCACGGGGCATGGAGCAGAGTAGACAGTGCTGAGTCCTGCTCACTGTCCTGTCTGGGGAGTCATCACATCTACTGGAGGTGGCTCAGGGCAGGCTCCATCTCTTGCCCAGGGCAGCAGGGTGGGCCCTGTGGCTGTACTCTTTGTTGCTGCCCTAAAGTGCCAAGAGAACTTGTTTTGGAATCATAAATCCTGAGTTTGCAGCCTGTTGCTCTCAACTCTTCCCTGGTTGTGTGACCTCAGGCAAGTCACCCTTTCTGGTTTGTTTTCCCATCTGCAAAACAGGATGAGAGCCAGTAAGGCCCCTTCCCGCCCTCAAGTTCTATGTCTCTGGTGGCTTTAAAGGTGGAGTCGTTTCTGCTGCTCATCTGCAGTGCCGAGTGGCAGTGCCTCATCCCACTCTCAGTCCGTGACCTGGAGGGTGGGTTTATACCTTGGACCACAGTCAGAGGTGCCGGGTTCTCAGCGGCCCCCATCTTGGTCCAAGGCTGGGCCTCTCACCTGCCCCTCTCTCTCCCCTCAGTGGTGGCTGGACCTCGTGGAAGCCCCTCTGGCTGTGTGGCTATGGACTCACGCAGAGCACTGTCGGCATCATCGGGCTGGGGCGCATAGGTGAGGCTCCCACCGGCCCGCTTGCCCGCCCCGGCTCTCACAGCGTGGTTTGCATCCCTGGCACCACGTGTCTGAAGGCTGAGAAGACCCACATGCTGTCAGGGCACTTTGCTTGCAGTAGAGATATCTCTAATGAGGGATACAGCTTTGTAAAACACAGGCAAATACATAAATAAACCAAAGCAGGATTCCTTAAGAACTCACCAGGTGATAAAAGCAAGTTGCCTAAGGGTCAGGGGGCTTCATGATTCCGGCTCCATAAAGAACAGATGAAGACTACAAATGTGTTGGGGCCGTTAGGAGTGGTTACCGTGAGAGAGCCCATTCCCCCGACACCTACTCCGGCTTGCGTTCTGGAAGGTATGTGACTCACAAAGCCCTAACTCGGGCCGGAGGGCTCAGTGGGCAGAGTTGATCTGCAGTTCTGCAGATGAGGCAGAGACACTTTTCTTCCAGTGGCCCTTATTTGGAGAAGCCTGGCAGAAGGGCGTGAGCCTAGCCAAGCAGCTATCTATTGGTGGTTCTCTGTCATCCTGCCTGGTGCAGGGGTGCGGGTGAGGGTGGAGAGTGTGGAGAACCTGTCTAGCCAACGAACAGCCCTGCCTCTCACTAGAGAGTTGCTTGGAGGAACCCAACAGCTTTGGGGCACGTTCTGAGCCTGAAAATCCAACTGTACAAATCTGTCTCAGCAGCAGCTTACATGAAAATTGTAAGTTTGGGGTGAGCTGGCAGTTTGGCAGTGCCACCAAAAAGTCAAATGGGGTCTGAGACTGCATTCACAGAAGCAGAGGGTCCAGGACAAAGGAGGGGACTGCTTGACCAGGTGTCTCCCTTGTGAAAACCTCTCCAGTTCTCAGAGGTTAGGAAAAACCTGAGTGGCTTTCCAGATGGCTTGGACCATGTGAGGACAGCATCAGCCAGTCACAGCCTCAGGGGAGCTGAGGTGCTGTCTCCAGATCCCTGGGGCAGTGTGGGCTGGCTGGGGGCTAGTTACAGTGGGGCAGCCAGCCCCCCACCCGCTTTGGAGGAGACAGGAGCAGGCAACTCGGGCTGTGCTGATGAAAAGGGTCTGCCCTGAGGGCCGCTGTTCCAGAAATGCTGGGTGGTGTCCCTACCCTTTGCGGGACTGGGAACGAGACATGGACTCTCCTTGCTCTAGGCCAGGCCATTGCTCGGCGTCTGAAACCATTCGGTGTCCAGAGATTTCTGTACACAGGGCGCCAGCCCAGGCCTGAGGAAGCAGCAGAATTCCAGGCAGAGTTTGGTAAGTGAAGCCTTGATTTCCACAGGAGCCTATCTGTGCCCAGTTGAGAGGCTGTATTTTCTCTCAATGGTGGCATTTTCAGGCAGAGGGCAGGAGCTCCAGGCATGTCCAGGGGCTGCTGTCTGGTAGATGTTTAATCTACCTGCCCCTGGACACTGGCCCACTCAGGGAGCACAGGGACTTACCCAGGTCCTCTCCGAGCCAGCAGAGCAGTCCAGGGCTCCCGTCTTTCAGAGTCCTTTGTTACCATTCCCCATTGTGGGCGGAGCAGCGGGGATGGTGGTGGGTGTGAGGAAGGGCTGGGCACTTTCACTGTCTTTTCCTTCATAAACTGGCAAGCACTACCCTAGCCTTTGTGTGCGCCCCTTAGTCCAGGCGGATCCAGCACCTGGCGGGTCCACAGCCTGGTGAGCAGATGGCAGGCTGGATCTCAAGCATTCCCCACGCCCCTGGGCACTTTGGGCCCTGAAGGTAGTTAAAGCCAGAGTGGTCCAGATCCCACTGTGTGTGATTTGACTTTGTGCACTCATGAGAGTTGTCCAGGTAGAGACTCGGCCTTCAGGAAGCATCTTGGGAGTTTCTGTTAGGGAGTCGGGAGCAAGGGGCTGGTCTCCCGCCATCTGGTTGTCCCTAGCCTGGGACTCAGTGCCTGATGGAGTCCTGCCCTCCCTCAGTGTCTACCCCTGAGCTGGCTGCCCAATCTGATTTCATCGTCGTGGCCTGCTCCTTAACACCTGCAACCGAGGGACTCTGCAACAAGGACTTCTTCCAGAAGATGAAGGAAACAGCTGTGTTCATCAACATCAGCAGGTATCCTAGGGCCACCTTACCCAGCAAGCCTGGAGAGGAGCCATCCCCACTGCTGCCATCTGGAGATTTTCTTCCCCGTGGGTTGTTGGTGAGACCCCAGGCTGAGCTTGCTGGTTTCCATAAACCAAACAACCAACTCAGAAATTCGTGGGAATACACGAGACCTCCGTACAGGGAAGAAGAGCCGTCAGAGTGGGCCTGGCCTGTCTGCTTCTCAGCAGTGGCCCCCACCCGGCGGGGCCTGGCACACAGCAGCGTGGCTTCAGGGAGTGTTCCCAGGGAGCCTCTGCAGGCCCATTATCCTCCACCACAAAGGGCTGGACTTGAGGATCTGAAGGGCCCTCTGGAGGCCGCCTCCCACACTGCTGAGCCTGGCTTTGTCTGGCTGTGGTTCAGTGATACTTTGAACCTTATGCTCCTGGGCGGACAGACCCTAAAACTCACGTGGTCGTAGCTCCTCACACTGTCCCTAGGGGTGCCTTCAGGCCACTGGGCATGTATGGAGGTCAGACCTTCCTTCTCTGCCACTCCAAGCCCTTCCTAGCTGGTGCCCCTTGAGCCTGTTTACATCAGTTTAGGGGAAGGGGGATTGGGTGAGGTCATCCTGAGGACTCGTCCACCCCAAAGGTACCTGTAATTACCAACATTTAGCTACAAAACAGGTGACCTGGGAATGGAAGAGTGAAACATGCAGGACCACAGGGCTCGCACTGCTGGCTGGCAGCAGTCACAGCTGCCGTGTACTGGGTGCCTGCATGTACCCAGGACAGCCCAGGACCGTGTATTACTCATTAGTGCACAAGTATTACTTAGTGCACAATATACAGTCTCTAGAAGATGACTTCTTGCCTTCAGTCGCCGCTCCCTTTGATGGCTGTGGTTAGGGGTGTGCTCGTTCCTCTGCCCTGGTTTAGACAGGTACCTGATAGCACACTGTGGTGCTTCTCAGTGGGGGTCTGGGGGTCAACCAGATCAGAAACACTTGGATGGGGCCTAACACAGATGCCCTTCTGGGCCCTGTTCATGCAGTAGAGCATGTAAGAAAGCTTTAATCCTCCCAACATGCCTGGGAGTTAGGTGGTATTCTCCTTATCTCACAGAGTAGATAATTTGAGACACAGATAATTCGAGGCACAGAGAATTTGAGACACTTGCCCAAGGTCACACAGCTAGAAGGAGGCAGGGCTGGAGTTCTCTGAGTATATAAGACTTACAGACATACTGTAAGTATACCTAAGACTTACTGCTTTAAAAGTCAGTGCCAAGTGAGTGGAAAAATTCATTCTGTAGGTTGTTCTGCCTCAAAGGTGGCCTGGGCGGAGGGATCTTCGGGGTACCCATGTCACCACTGTCATTCCCAGGGGCGACGTCGTAAACCAGGACGACCTGTACCAGGCCTTGGCCAGTGGTAAGATTGCAGCTGCTGGACTGGATGTGACGAGCCCAGAACCACTGCCTACAAACCACCCTCTCCTGACCCTGAAGAACTGTGGTAAGAACTGCACTTTCTGATGCAAACTCCCTGCTGCCCTGCAGGACCAGTGTTTTTGAGGGGGTCCCAAGGGGCCGGGTGTGGAGCTAGTGTGAGCAGGTGTTGAACCCAAAGGGACACACCAGGGATCGTAAATGTTTATGTTGTCAGTGACATGGGTGTATGACAGGAGCAGTCCTCTTGCGCATGCTCTGCTGGGTCTCTGTCCCTAAAGGAACAGAATGTAGGTGTGAGTGGATTTGTTTAAAAAAAAAGAGTGGGCCAGGCGTGGTGGCTCATGCCTGTAATCCCAGCACTTTGGGAGGCTGAGGTGGGTGGATCACGAGGTCAGGGGTTCGAGACCAACCTGGCCGATATGGTGAAACCCCATCTCTACTAAAAATACAAAAATTAGCCAGGTATGGTGGTGCATGCCTATAGTCCCAGCTGTTTGGGAGGCTGAGGCAGAAGAATCGCTTGAACCCAGGAGGCACAGGTTGCAGTAGGCCGAGATTGTGCCACTGCACTCCAGCCTGGGTGGCAGAGTGAGACTCCATCTCCAAAACAACAACAACAACAAAGTGGGCTGACTACATGTCTCCATGTGTTACACCACAGTGACTCGTGTAAAACCTGTTACTATAAATTGCTATTACCAGTTTAGCTGTGAAAAATTAAAAGTGTAATGACAATGCCAATATAACTCGTGCCAGTTTTTCAAGCTGTTGTTTCACAACAAAGCCCCCTTCTCTCTTCTGCTTTGTGGGGCTGGGGCCAGGCCTCTGCACACCCCATTTCTGCTGTGCCAGCTGCACTGGCAGGCCTTGTCAGCGTGGGTGTGGAAGGGCCTGCTCCCTCCTGCCCTCCCTTCCTGTCTTTGGGGGAGTGGCAGCAGCACTTCTTCATCTAGCAGCACCAGTTCCTTCCCATAGTGGCTGGGGAATCCAGTTTGCAGTTTTTCCAACACTTGGTGAACCAGCCCCATTGAGCCCTGCTCAGAGACAAGAGCAACAGCCAGTCAGTGCCCGTGCCACCGAAGTCTGAGTTGCAGCACCAGAAGTGCCTCTGGCAGTTGCTACCTCTGTGCTACCACAGTGCAGTGGTTCTCACATTTTTTTTTTTTTTTTTTTTTTTGAGACAGAGTCTCGCTCTGTCGCCCAGGCTGGAGTGCAGTGGTGCAATCTGAACTCACTGCAACCCCTGCCTCCTGGGTTCAAGCGATTCTCCTGCCTCAGCTTCCCGAGTAGCTGGGATTACAGGCGTGTACCACCAGGCCCAGCCAATTTTTGTATTTTTAGTAGAGATGGGGTTTGTCCATGTTGGCCAGGCTGGTCTCGAATTCCTGACCTCAGATGGTCCACCTGCCTCTGCCTCCCAAAGTGCTGGGATTACAGGCATGAGTGTCCGGCCAATTCTCATACTTTTGAGTTCGTCAGAATCACCTGGAGGAGTGACTGATCAAACACAGGTTGCTAGCCCCATCCCGAGAGTTTCTATTTCAGCAGGTCTGGGGTGGGGTCTGACAGAGTGTGCTCCTCACGGCTCCCAGATGCCACTGATGCTGCTGGTCCAGGGACCACACTTTGTGGTTTGGGTTTTTGTTACCTGCTCAGTGAGTTAACAACTTGATGCGTAGTTAATGATTCTTTATATTAAGATCTGTTCAGGTAGCTGGTGGAGTTTATGCCTCCAGACTAAGAGTGATCAGGGCCTTAGGTTGTCCGGGCCAGTCTCTGCCCTTAATTTGGATTCTGGAATGGAAACCTAAACAAAAGGTCTTCAGCTGCCTTCCCCAGTGAATGCTCCCATTATTGCAGCCCTTGGAAACTCTCCCGTCCCTCCCCCACCCCAGCCTGCAAGGAGCACTGGGTGTGATGTCAGGGCTGTCGCCCACAGCCAGGAAAACTGCCCTCCCACCCCCACCCTAGGTCCTGGAATTCAGCTCACGGCCTGGGGACTGCTTCAAAAGGCAGGTCTTGGTCTGAGGAGAGGGCAGTCAGGGCATGAAGCTGCAGCCGCCACCGCTGCTTCTACAAAATCTAAGCACTGGGCTGCAGCCATGTCCTACTGCCAGCAGGAAGGGAAGGATGCAATCATTTGTGATGTAAAAAGACCATGCAGCTCC